>NC_000003.12:87585757-87888787 GCF_000001405.40 Homo sapiens | reverse complement strand
AATCTTTACAAAAACCTTGAGGTAGGTACTTTTAGGCTCCCCATTTTACATATAAGGTCAGTCAGTTTAAAGGAAGTTAGATAGCAAGGAATCAAGAAGAAAGAGATTGCAGAGCTTATGCTTATAGCCACTAATTATTTAGTGTTATACTTCTACAATATAATTCAATAACCAGATTTCCCAATATAAACATTTGTGACATCAGATGGAAATTTTATGAAAATCCATAAAGTCCATATTCTTTGTCTCACAATGTTTTTTTCCTCATACTCAATGTATTTAGTAATTTCATACTTCTATTTTATTTTATTTTATTTTTTATTATACTTTAAGTTCTAGGGTACATGTGTACAATGTGCAGGTTTGGTATTTAGGTATACATGTGCCATGTTGATTTTCTGCACCCATTAACTAGTCATTTACATTAGATATTTCTCCTAATGCTATCCCTCCTCCAGACCCCACCCTACAACAGGCCCCGGTGTGTGATGTTCCCTTTCCTGTATCCAAGTGTTCTCATTGTTCAATTCACACCTATGAGTGAAAGAATGCAGTGTTTGGTTTTCTGTACTTGTGATAGTTTGTTGAGAATGATGGTTTCCAGCTTCATCCACATCCATGCAAAGGACATGAACTCATCTTTTTTTATGTCTGCATAGTATTCCATGGTGTATATATGCCACATTTTCTTAATCCAGTCTATCATTGATGGACATCTGGGTTGGTTCCAAGTCTTTGCTATTGTGAACAGTGCCACAGTAAACATACATGTGTGCGTGTCTTTATAGTAGCCTGATTTATAATCCTTTGGGTATATACCCAGTAATGGGATTGCTGGGTCAAATGGTATTTCTAGTTCTAGATCCCTGAGGAATTGCCACACTGACTTCCACAAGGGTTGAACTAGTTTACAGTCCCACCAACAGTGTAAAAGTGTTCCATTTCTCCACATCCTCTCCAGCATCTGTTGTTTCCTGACTTTTTAATGATCGCCGTTCTAACTGGTGTGAGATGGTATCTCATTGTGGTTTTGATTTGCATTTCTCTGATGACCAGTGATGATGAGCAATTTCATGTGTCTTTTGGCTGCATAAATGTCTTCTTTGGAGAAGTGTCTGTTCATATCCATTGCCCACTTTTTGATTGGGTTGTTTTCTTCTTGTAAATTTGTTTAAGTTCTTTGTAGATTCTGGATATTAGCCCTTTGTCAGATGGATAGATTGCAAAAATTTTCTCCCATTCTGTAGGTTGCCTGTTCACTCTGATGGTAGTTTCTTTTGCTGTGCAGAAGCTCTTTAGTTTAATTAGATCCCATTTGTCAATTTTGGCTTTTGTTGCCATTGCTTTTGGTGTTTTAGTCATGAAGTCCTTGCCCATGCCTATGTCATGAATGGTATTGCCTAGGTTTTCTTCTAGGGTTTTTATGGTTTTAGGTCTAACATTTAAGTCTTTAATCCATCTTGAATTAATTTTTGTATAAGGTGTAAGGAAGGGATCCAGTTTCAGCTTTCTACATATGGCTAGCCAGTTTTCCCAGCACCATTTATTAAATAGGGAATCCTTTCCCCATTCCTTGTTTTTGTCAGGTTTTCAAAGGCCAGATGGTTGTAGATGTGTGGTGTTATTTCTGAGGCCTCTGTTCTGTTCCATTGGTCTGTATGTTTGTTTTGGTATCAGTCCCATGCTGTTTTTGTTACTGTAGCCTTGTAGTATAGTTTGAAGTCAGGTAGTGTGATGCCTCCAGCTTTGTTCTTTTTGCTTAGGGTTGTCTTGGCAATGTGGGCTCTTTTACGGTTCCATGTGAACTTTAAAGTAGTTTTTTCCAATTCTGTGAAGAAAGTCATTGGTAGCTTGATGGGGATGGCATTGAATCTATAAATTACCTTGGGCAGTATGGCCATTTTCACGATATTGATTCTTCCTATCCATGAGCATGGAAGGTTATTTGTTTGTGTCCTCCTTTATTTCATTGAGCAGTGGTTTGTAGTTCTCCTTGAAGAGGTCCTTCACATCCCTTGTAAGTTGGATTCCTAGGTGTTTTATTCTCTGTAGCAATTGTGAATGGGTGTTCAGTCATGATTTGGCTGTCTTTTATTGGTGTAGACGAATGCTTGTGATTTTTGCACATTGATTTTGTATCCTGAGACTTTGCTGAGTTGCTTATCAGGTTAAGGAGTTTTTGGGCTGAGACGATGGGGCTTTCTAAATATACAGTCATGTCATCTGCAAACAGGGACAATTTGACTTCCTCTTTTCCTAACTGAATACCCTTTATTTCTTTCTCTTGCCTGATTGCCCTGGCCAGAACTTCCAACACTATGTTGCATAGGAGTGGTGAGAGAGGGCATCTCTGTCTTGTGCCAGTTTTCAAAGGGAATGCTTCCAGTTTTTGCCCATTCAGTATGATACTGGCTGTGGGTTTGTCATAAATAGCTCTTATTATTTTGAGATAGGTTCCATCAATACCTAGTTTATTGAGAGTTTTTAGCAGGAAGGGCTGTTGAATTTTGTCAAAGGCCTTTTCTGCATCTATTGAGATAATCATGTGGTTTTTGTCCTTGGTTCTGTTTATGTGATGGATTACGTTTATTGATTTGTGAATGTTGAACCAGCCTTGCATCACAGGGATGAAGACAACTTGATCGTGGTGGATGAGCTTTTTGATGTGATGCTAGATTCAGTTTGCCAGTATTTTATTGAGGATTTTAGCATCGATGTGCATCAGGGATACTGCTCTAAAATTGTCTTTTTTTGTCGTGTCTCTGCCAGGCCTTGGTATCAGGATGATGCTGGCCTCATAAAATGAGTTAGGGAGGATTCCCTCTTTTTCTATTGATTGGAATAGTTTCAGAAGGAATGGTACCAGTTCCCCTTTATACCTCTGGTAGAATTCGGCTGAGAATCCGTCTGGTCCTGGGCTTTTTTTGGTTGGTAGGCTATTGATTATTGCCTCAATTTCAGAGCCTGTTATTGGTGTATTCAGAGATTCAACTTCTTCCTGGTTTAGTCTTGGGAGGGTGTATGTGTCCAGGAATTTATCCATTTATTCTAGATTTTCTAGTTTATTTGCATAGAGGTGTTTATAGTATTCTCTGATGGTAGTTTGTATTTTTGTGGGATTGGTAGTGATATCCCCTTTATCATTTTTTATTGCGTCTATTTGATTCTTCTCTCTTTTCTTTATTAGTCTTGCTAGCAATCTATCAATTTTGTTGATTGTTTCAAAAAAACAGCTCCTGGATTCACTGATTTTTTGAAGGGTTTTTTGTGTCTCTATCTCCTTCAGTTCTGCTCTGATCTTAGTTATTTCTTGCCTTCTGCTCGCTTTTGAATTTGTTTGCTGTTGCTTCTCTAGTTCTTTTAATTGTGATGTTAGGGTATCAATTTTAGATCTTTCCTGCTTTCTCTTGTGGGCATTTAGTGCTATAAATTTCCCTCTACACACTGCTTTAGATGTGTCCCAGAGATTCTGGTTCGTTGTGTCTTTTTTTCTCATTGATTTCAAAGAACATCTTTATCTCTGCCTTCATTTCGTTATCTACCCAGTAGTCATTCAAGAGCAGGTTGTTCAGTTTCCATGTAGTTGTGTGGTTTTCAGTGAGTTTCTTAATCCTGAGTTCTAATTTGATTGCACTGTGGTCTGAGAGATAGTTTGTTGTGATTTCTATTCTTTTACATTTGCTGAGGAGTGTTTTACTTCCAACTATGTAGTCAATTTTGGAATAAGTGTGATGTGGTGCTGAGGAGAATGTATATTCTGTCGATTTGGGGAGGAGAGTTCTGTAGATGTCTGTTAGGTCTGCTTGATGCAGAGCTGAGTTCAAGTCCTGGATATCCTTGTTAACCTTCTGACTCATTGATCTGTCTGACAGTGGGGTGTTAAAGTCTCCCATTATTATTGTGTGGGAGTATAAGTCTTTTTGTAGGTCTCTAAGGACTTCTTTATGAACCTGAGTGCTCCTGTATTGGGTGCATATATATTTAGGATAGTTAGCTCTTCTTGTTGAATTGATCCCTTTACCATTATGTAATGGCCTTCTTTGTCCCTTTTGATCTTTGTTGGTTTAAAGTCTGTTTTATCAGACTACGATTGCAATCTCTGCTTTTTTTTGCTTTCCATTTGCTTGGTAGATCTTCCTCCATCACTTTATTTTGAGCCTATGTGTGTCTCTGCATGTGAGATGGGTCTCCTGAATATAGCACAGTGATGAGTCTTGACTCTTTATCCAATTTGCCAGTCTATGTCTTTTAATTGAGGCATTTAGCCCATTTACATTTAAGGTTGATCTTGTTATGTGTGTATTTGATCTTGTCATTATGATGTTAGCTGGTTCTTTTGCCCATTAGTTGATGCAGTTCCTTCCTAGCATTGATGGTCTTTACAATTTGGCATGTTTTGCAGTGGCTGATAACCTGTTGTTCCTTTCCATGTTTAGTGCTTCCTTCAGCAGCTCTTGTAAGGCAGGACAAAATCGGGTGGTGACAAAATTTCTCAGCATTTGCTTGTCCGTAAAGGATTTTATTTCTCCTTCACTTATGAAGCTGAGTTTGGCTGGGTATAAAATTCTGGGTGAAAATTCTTTTCTTTAAGAATGTTGAGTATTGGCCCCCACTCCCTTGTGGCTTGTAGAGTTTCTGCCAAGAGATCCACTGTTAGTCTGATGGGCTTCCCTTTGTGAGTAATCCAACCTTTCTTTCTGGCTGCCCTTAACATTTTTTCCTTCATTTCAACCTTGGTGAATCTGAAAATTATGTGTCTTGGGGTAGCTCTTCTTGAGGAGTACCTTTGTGGTTTTCTCTGTATTTCCTGAATTTGAATGTTGGCTTGCCTTGCTAGGTTGGGGAAGTTCTCCTGGATAATATCCTGAAGAGTGTTTTCCAACTTGGTTCCATTCTCCCCATCACTTTCAGGTGCACCAATCAAACATAGATTTGGTCTTTTCATATAGTCCCATATTTCTTGGAGGCTTTGTTCATTTCTTTTTACTCTTTTTTCTCTAAACTTGTCTTCTTGCTTTATTTCATTGATTTGATATTCAATCACTGATATCCTTTCTTCCACTTGATCGAATTGGCTACTGAAGCTTGTGCATGCATCACGTAGTTCTCGTGCCATGGTTTTCAGCTCCATCAGGTCAAGGTCTTCTCTACACTGTTTATTCTAGTTAGCCATTTGTCTAATCTTTTTTCTAGTTTTTAGTTTCTTTTTAGTTTCTAGTTTTTAGTTTCTTTGCGATGGGTTCAAACATCCTCCTTTAGCTTGGAGAAATTTGTTATTACTGACCTTCTGAAGCCTTCTTCTGTCACCTCGTTAAAGTCTTTCTCCATCCAGCTTTGTTCTGTTGCTGGCAAGGAGCTGTAATCCTTTGGAGGAGAAGAGGTGCCCTGGTTTTTAGAATTTTCAGCTTTTCTGCTCTGGTTTCTCCCCATCTTTGTGGCTTTATCTACCTTTGGTCTTTGAGGTTGATGACTTACAGATGGGGTTTTAGTGTGGGTGTCCTTTTTGTTGATGTTGATGCTATTCCTTTCTGTTTGTTAGTTTTCCTTTCAACAGTCAGGTCGCTCAGCTGCAAGTCTGTTGGAGTTTGCTGGAGGTCCACTCCAGACCCTGTTTGCCTGGGTAGCACTAGTGAAGGCTGCAGAACAGCAAATATTGCAGCACAGCAAATATTGCTGCCTGATCCTTCCTCTGGAAGCTTCATCCCAGAGGGGCACCCACCTGTATGAGGTGTCCGCCCCTACTGGGATGTGTCTCCCAGTTAGGCTACATGGAGGTCAGGAACCCACTTGAGGAGGCAGTCTGTCCGTCCTCAGAGCTCCAACGCCATCCTGGGAGGACCACTGTTCTCTTCAGAGCAGTCAGACAGGGACATTTAAGTCTGCAGAAGTTGTCTGCTGCCTTTTTTTTAAATTTATTTTTTATTTTTTTATTATTATACTTTAAGTTTTAGGGTACATGTGCACAATGTGCAGGTTAGTTACATATGTATACATGTGCCATGCTGGTGCGCTGCACCCACTAACTTGTCATCTAGCATTAGGTATATCTCCCAGTGCTATCCCTCCCCCCTCCCCCGACCCCACAACAGTCCCCAGAGTGTGATGTTCCCCTTCCTGTGTCCATATGTTCTCATTGTTCAATTCCCACCTATGAGTGAGAATATGCGGTGTTTAGTTTTTTGTTCTTGATAGTTTACTGAGAATGATGATTTCCAATTTCATCCATGTCCCTACAAAGGACATGAACTCATCATTCTTTATGGCTGCATAGTATTCCATGGTGTATATGTGCCACATTTTCTTAATCCAGTCTATCATTGTTGGACATTTGGGTTGGTTCCAAGTCTTTGCTATTGTGAATAGTGCCGCAATAAACATATGTGTGCATATGTCTTTATAGCAGCATGATTTATAGTCCTTTGGGTATATACCCAGTAATGGGATGGCTGGGTCAAATGGTATTTCTTGTTCTAGATCCCTGAGGAATCACCACACTGACTTCCACAGTGGTTGATGTTTACAGTCCCACCAACAGTGTAAAAGTGTTCCTATTTCTCCACATCCTCTCCAGCACCTGTTGTTTCCTGACTTTTTAGTGATTGCCATTCTAACTGGTGTGAGATGATATCTCATTGTGGTTTTGATTTGCATTTCTCTGATGGACAGTGATGGTGACCATTTTTTCATGTGTCTTTTGGCTGCATAAATGTCCTCTTTTGAGAAGTGTCTGTTCATGTCTTTCACCCACTTTTTGATGGGGTTGTTTGTTTTTTTCTTGTAAATTTGTTTGAGTTCATTGTAGATTCTGGATATTAGCCCTTTGTCAGATGAGTAGGTTGCAAAAATTTTCTCCCATTTTGTGGGTTGCCTGTTCACTCTGATGGTAGTTTCTTTTGCTGTGCAGAAGCTCTTTAGTTTAATTAGATCCCATTTGTCAATTGTGGCTTTTGTTGCCATTGCTTTTGGTGTTTAGACATGAAGTCCTTGCCCATGCCTATGTCCTGAATGGTATTGCCTAGGTTTTCTTCTAGGGTTTTTATGGTTTTAGGTCTAACGTTTAAGTCTTTAATCCATCTTGAATTGATTTTTGTATAAGGTGTAAGGAAGGGATCCACTTTCAGCCTTTTACATATGGCTAGCCAGTTTTCCCAGCACCATTTATTAAATAGGGAATCCTTTCCCCATTGCTTGTTTTTCTCAGGTTTGTCAAAGATCAGATAGTTGTAGATATGCGGAGTTATTTCTGAGGGCTCTGTTCTGTCTGCTGCCTTTTTTTCAGCCATTCCCTGCCCCCAGAGGTGGAGTCAACAGAGGCAGTAGGCCTTGCTGAGCTGCAGTGGGCTCTGCCTGGTTCGAGCTTCCCAGGCTGCTTTGTTTACCTACTCAAGCCTCAGCAATGGCAGACTCCCTCCGCCAGCCAGGCTGCTGCCTTGCAGGTGGATCTCAGACTGCTGTGCTAGCAGTGAGCAAGGCTCTGTTGGTGTGGGACCCGCCAAGCCATGCATGAGACATAATCTCCTGGTGTGCCGTTTGCTAAGACCATTGGAAAAGCTCAGTATTTAGGTGTGAGTGTCCTGTTTTTTCCAGGTACAGTCTGTCACGGCTTCCCTTAGCTAGGAAATGGAAATCTCCTGACCCCTTGCACTTCCCAGGTGAGGCAATGCCCCGCCCTGCTTAGGCTCACCCTCCGTGGGCTGCACCCACTATGTCCAACCAGTCTCAGTGAGATGAACCCAGTACCTAAGTTGGAAATGCAGAAATCACCCGTATTCTGTGTCGCTCACACTGGGAACTGCAGACTGGAGCTGTTCCTGTTTGGCCATCTTGGAACCACTCATACTTCTATTTTAATGGCTTATAAAATATGTTCTCATACCAAGTATTATCTTTTCCTGAGCAGGCTCATTAAGATGAATTTGATAAGTCTCCAATTACAGTTTACAACTGTTTACGTTGAAAATCCCAAAACTAGAGAAAAACTGAAAAGAGTAGTAAAGTGAGACCTCATGTAAGCTTACCTATTATTGCTACTTTGCTTTCTATTTTGTCTCTCTTTGTCAGCTTCTGTCTCTCTCTCCCCGCCCCGCCATATATGGACATACTCATCAATACACACACACACACACACACACACACACACAAACAAACACACACACATTTTGTAGCTGAACAATTTGAAGAGTTAGTTGCAAGTTTTAATTTTAGGTATCAATGAATAAATTGAAGAAATATTTTTTGAAAATAATTTATTCCTGTAAATAGAGTAATCCAGTTAATTTATTTCTAAAAACAATCCTTTATACCAGGTTTCTAATACTCACTATGTATCCTAAGAAAGTAAGTTTTCCTTTATTCAATTTAGATTTTTGGCATTTTCTGTATGCCTTTTTGCTGATGATGTCTTTTAAAGAGCTGATTAATTTTGGTGAAAATTATCTTTAAAAAATTTTATTGAGATGTAATCTATGTACAATGAATTACATCCATTTAAAGTGTACAATTTGATACTTTTAAAAGACATATACAACTGAAAACCACACCACAATTAAGATATGAGACTTTCCTATTACTCCCCAAAGTTTTCTCATGCCCCTTTTCAGTCCATCATTCTCGTTATCCTGCACCCAGCCTATCACTTATCTGTTTTTATGTCACTGTAGAATAGTTTGCATTTCTTAAAATTTTGTATACCGAATCACAGTCTTTCAACTTTTTTTGTGCCTGGCTTTTTGCACTCAGTAAGAAAAGTTCATTTTATTGAGCCTTAACTCTCAGATTTTCATTTTATATGAAAAATACTGTTTAGATGTTAAATTTTATATTTCTTTTAAATAGGAGGAAATATATTAGAATCAACAGACAGGAAATTCCTAATGTTCTGTTTGTACATTTTAGAGTTATGAATAGATAACAGAAAAAAATATGCCATCATTACAATTTATGTATTATTAATGGTGTGAGAAATAAGATAGGCTGATGTTGTAAGTATAGAAGCTAAACAAATCTTGTTTAACTAAACTTTACAAATTAATGTGTTGGTTAACTCCATAAAATGAAATATTCATTTTATGGAAATATGGGTGATACTTTACAATGTATTAGAATAAAATCATGAAAAATTTGCTTCTTGAACTAAAAATTTAAGAATTTTAGAAACTGGCATATTTTTCTTTAATGAACAATTCTACATATCCTAGAATGTTCTTATGATGCCATTACAGTTAAATATAATTAAAAATATCATTCAAGGGTGTGTGTGGGGAGGGGAGAGAGGGTTTTGTGCTAGGGCAGATTCTTGGCTAATGCACTGCCAGGTTGGCATTGCAATGAAGTGATTTCACACATAAGGAACCTCTGTAAAGTTATGGAGGGTAATGGGTTAATAACCTGTAAGTAAAAAAACATTAATGACATTTAATATCTTCATATACATCAGTACTAAGACTTATATTGTACAAGCAAAAATAAGAAGTTAAAATATGATTAAATGCATTATACTCTCAGGGTGAATATTTTAATTGGGAATTTTAAATTTTTATTGCAATAAATCAAATTTTAATTCTGTTTAACAATTACTAATGCTATACAACATGATTCCACTTAGATTGGAGATTATGTTACCTCTTTTGACTTAGCATTCTTTTAAACTAAATAAAAAGAAATTACTTAGTTGAAATCTTCAGGTAGCCAAGAAGAAATTCACAGCATATACTGTTTCAAAAAGTTCTGTATGATTACTGTGCAAATACTTAAATAGCACAAATCAAAATTCATTTTCTACTTAGAAATATTTCTGTCTATATTTACATATACATAACAGTTATTTAGGTGTTAATTACATAATTTCTGCTGAAAGATGAAAAGAATAACAGACTTCCTACTGTGTTTCAGAACATTAACAAAGTGAATATTGCTTTTCTTAACTACAATATGACACCTATGAGATGAACTCAAGTTCAAGCAAAGATCTAAGGCAAGACATAAACCAACCAGCAACATATAACTTTTACTTAGTGGAGGAAAACAGCCTAAACATAGTTTTTTTGTTTTTATTTTTCTCTTTACTTTCCTCCATTTCAACAAAAAAAAATCTGTGTGTGTGTGTTTGTGTGTGTGTGGTGTGCTTGTGGCATCTGCCTGTGTATACTTACAAAGAGCAAGATCAATACAACAGAGTAGATCTGAGAGCACAATGCCTCCTAATTTCTACTTAGAGATACGATGGGCATTTTTTGAAAGCTTACTGCCTCTGCCTCATCCTACAATTTTAGGTGAAACAAAACTATGAGCAAAAGTAAGAGTCTGATTCATTTGAAGATAGGCAGAAATTCTCTTTTATTCTATCTCTGTCCTGCTGGAAATCATTTTTATCGATATTTCTGTTTCAATTGGACATTTCACACATACATAAAATGATTTAGCATTTACTTCCTGGGTCTACCAGGCTTCTTCTGGGATTGCTGCTCTGGACACTGTTGCAGTCCAACAGTCCTAAGTAACATCTATTTTTCTTCAAGATGATTTAATACTCAGTGATCTGGTTCATAAATGGTCTGAAGTTGTGTACTGGACACCTTATGTGTTTCAGCTGAACTTTTTCAAAGCAAAACCTCTGCTCTAGAATGACTAATTTTGTTATTGGTTACAAAAGTCCTCTTATTTCTACCTCAGAGCCAATTCCTAGATTCTCAATCTATTTAAACTTAATCCATTCTCAAGATCCCGTCCATTCTCCCTTTTTCATTAAAACCACTATCAATCGTTCAAGTCTGCACTTATTTCCTATTTGTAAAGCATTTTAGAAGAACTTAAATAATAAGATATTAAAACTGAGAGAGAAATTGGATAAACTTTATATAATTCATTGTGTGGGAGGTCTGGAAAGAGGTGGAAATTTAGAAGTGGACAGGAAGGGAAGGAGCTTTGCTACACATTTCCCCGTTCTCTTATCCTTACCCAAAGACAAACAGTGTTCACATTTGTATTGATTTCTTCTTCTGTGCAAGCCTGCTTTACACATTTGAGCTCATCCTCCATGTACAGTATAGTACAGCAGCAGCTGGGAGCTTGAGCTTTAGAGTTAACTCAGAGTCAGTTGAAGCTCTGCTCTTACTATTGATAGTTGGGATCTTGGATATCACTTAGATCCTTGAAGCCTCAGGTTCTTTACTGGTAATGGGAATAATAACAGTGCCCTTTTCATGTTTGTTGTCAAAATGATATGATATAAAGCTATAATGCATATAAAGTGCTTAGCACATTGTAATAACTTAATCATCATTAACTTTTACATAAAAATTGATAATTTCTTAAGTAATTTCTCATGTAACTAGTAATCCCCCATTTATAGTTTTGGAATGTTTTTTCTTTCAATTCACTAAAAATTGAGTGGGTGCCTAATCAATTTTTAGTGAATTGAAAGCAAAAGAGAAAGGGCAAATAAAATTCATTGTCTCCTATGATCAGACACAGGCTAGACAACTCAGGCACATTACTCCATTTAATCCTTATACTAAGTAGTGAATAACATTATCCTATTTTCTTTTATTACAAACAAAAAAACTGGCTTGGAGAGGTAATATCATTTGGTTTATGTCCTAGAACTTGTATGTGGTGAAATTATGGTTTTTTTCCAGAGATTTCAACTCACTACAAATCTTGTATGCTTCTATATCAGTTTGCTCTTCTATTTTAGCTGAAATAAATAGAATGACCCTATGAAAATAAGATGATGCATTCTAAATAACTTTGTAGACTGCATATTTAATATCCTAGGCCTAAAATTACTTTTTGAAATCTTTCTTTTTTTATTTTAGTAAAAAGCACATATCATAAAATTTACCATCTTAACGAAAATTTACCACCTTAGTGATTTTTAAGTGTACAGTACAGTAGTTTTATATATATGAACTTTATATGGCTTTAATGAAAAGGAGGGGAATGAATAGGGCCTTAAGAAATAAGTTAAGTTTGAATAGACTGAGAATCTAGGATAGACATAGGAACAATATGTATATGTTGTTCTTCGGTAGCTCTACAGACAATTTTCACCTTGAAAAACTGAAACTCTATATCCACCGAACAATAAATCCTATCTTACCCCTTTCCCTGGTCCCTAGCACCATCTACTTTACTTTTAGTTTCTGAGAGTTTGACTATTTTTTATGACGCCTATAAGTGGAACCATGCAGTCTTTGTCATTTTGTGACTGGCTTATTTCACTTAGCATTTTGTGGCTTATTTCATTTAGCATTTGTCATTTTGTGATTGGCTTATTTCACCTATAATGAAGTATAACGTCTTCAAGATTCATCTGTGTTTTTACTATGTGACAAGATGTCTTTCTTTTTTAAGACTGAATAATATTCCCTTGTATGAATATACCACATTTTCTTTTCATTTTCACATTTTCTTTGTCCATCAATGGACATTTAGGTTACTTCCACTTCCTAGCTATTGTGAATAATGCTGCAATGATCATAGGTGTGGGAACAGCTCTTCAAGATCCTGTTTTCAATTATTTTGGAGATATATACCCAGAAGTGGTATTGCTGGATCATGTGGTAATTCTATTTTTAATTTTTTGAGGAATGTTCATACTGCTTTCCAGAGCAGTTACACTGTTTTATACGCCCATGATCAGCACACAAAGTCTCCAATTCTACACATCCTTCCCAACACTTGTTATTTTATGTGTTTTTTTAAGTAGTGGACGTATAAATGTGAAGCAATATTTCACTGTGTTTTGATTTGCATTTCACTGGTGACTAATGATGTTGAGCATCTTTTTATATGCTTATTGGTTATTTGTATTACTTAGGAGAAATGTCTATTTGAGTCTTGCCCTTTTTTTTTTTTTTTTTTGAGACGGAGCCTTGCTCTTCTGCCCAGGCTGGAGTGCAGTAGCGTGATCTTGGCTCACTGCAAGCTCCACCTCCTGGGTTCAAGCCATTCTCCTGCTTCAGCCTCCCGAGTAGCTGGGACTACAGGCACCCACCACCATGCCCAGCTAATTTTTTGTATTTTTAGTAGAGATGGGGTTTCACCGTGTTAGCCAGGATGGTCTCAATCTCCTGACCTTGTGATCTGCCCGCCTCGGCCTCCCAAAGTGATGAGATTACAGGTGTGAGCCACCGCGCCTGGCTGAGTCTTGCCCATTCTTAATTAGGTTATTTGATTTTTTGCTGTTGTGTCCTATGAGTTCTGTACATATTTTGGATATTAACTCCTTATCAAATATATGTTTTACAAGTGTTTTCTCCCATTTCATAGGTTGCCTTTTCACTCTGTTGGTTGATACCTTTGCTGTGCAGAAGTTTGTTTTTTTTTTCTTTTTTTGAGATGGAGTCTTGTTCTGTAGCTCAGGCTGGAGTGCAGTGGTATGATCTCGGCTCACTGCAACCTCCATCTCCCTGGGTTCAAGTGATTCTGCTGCCTCAGCCTCTGAGTAGCTGGGATTACAGGCAGCCACCACCATGCCTGGCTAGTTTTTGTATTTTTAGTAGAGACAGGTTGCACCATGTTGGCCAGGCTGGTCTCAAACTCCTGACCTCAAGTGATCCACCTGCCTCAGCCTCCCAAAGCGCTGGGACTACAGGCCTGAGCCATCACACCTGGCCTACTGTGTAGAAGTTTTTAAGTTTGATGTGGTTCCATTGTTCTATTTTTGCTTTTGTTAACCTGTGCTTTTGTGTCATATCCAAAAAATTATTGCCCAGACCAATATCAAGATGCTTCTTTCCTATGTTTTCTTCTAATAGTTTTACAGTTTCAGGTCTTCCACTTAAGTCTTTAATCCATTTTAAGTTGATTTTTGTATATGGTGTAAAGTAAGGATCTAATCTCATTCTTTTCATGTGGATATTCAGTTTTTGCAACATCATTTGTTGAGGAGACTACCCTTTCCACATGGTGTAGTCTTCACACCATTATTGGAGATTATTTAACCATATACTTCTGGGCTTTCTATTACGTTCCACTAGTCTATATGTCTGCCTTTATGCCAGTGCCATAATGTTTTGATTACTGTAGCTTTGTAATATGTTTTGAAGACAGGAACTGTAAGATTTCTAGCTTTGTTTTTCTTTCTTAAGTTTGTTTCAGCTATTTGGTGTCCTTTGAGATTCCATATTAATTTTAGGGTTTTTTTTTTTTCTATTTTTGCAGAAAAATGCTTTGAGATTTTGGTAGGGATTGTATTGAATCTGTATACTGGTTTGGGTAATATAGGCACTTTCACAATATTAATAAATCTTTTAATTCATGAGTGTGAGATATCTTTGCATTTGTTTTTGTCGTCCTTCAATTCTTTCAGCAATGCTTTGTAGTTTTCCATGTACAAGTCTTTTCCCTTCTTAGTTAAGTTATTCCCAAGTATTTTATTCTTTGTGATGCTATGGTAAGTGGGACTGTTTTCTTAATTTCATTTTCAGATTGTTCATTGTTAGTGTATGAAAATAAAACTGATTTCTCTGTGTAGGCTTTGTATCCTGTAACTTTGCTGAATTATTCCACTAGTTCTAACAGATTTTTTTTTGTATGTGTGTGTGTGGAATCTTTAGGGTTTTCTACATAAAAGATCATGGTATTTGTGAACAGAGATACATTTATTTATTTTTGCCAATTTGGTCACCTTTTTTTCTTTTTCTTGCCTAATTGCTCTGGCTAGGAACTCCATTATCATGTTGAATAGAAGTCATGAAAGTGGACATCTCCTTGTCTTGTTCCTAATCTTACAGGAAAAGGTTTTATGTTTTCATCAATGAGTATGATGTTAGCTGTGGGCTTCTCATATATGGCTTTTATTATATTGAGGTAATTTCTTCTACTCCTATTTTGTTGAGTGTTTTAATCATGAATGGGTGTTAAATTTTGTCATGTACATTTTCTGTATCTATTGAGATAATCATATGGTTTTTGTCCTTACTGTTAATGTGGTAGATCACATTGACTGATTTTTGTAAGTTGAGCCATGCTTGCCTTTTAACGGTGTATCACATTGATTGATTTTTGTAAGTTGAGCCATGCTTGCATTTTAGGAATAAATCCCATTTGGTCATGATGTATAATCTTTTTAATCTGCTGTTGAATTCAGTTTGCTAGTATTTGGTGGAGGATTTTTGCATCAATATTTGTGATGGTTAATTATATATGTCAATGTGACTGTGCTAAAGGATGCCCAGATAGTTGGTAAAACATTATTTCTGGGTATGTCTTTGAGGGTGGTTCTGAAATAGATTAGCATCTGAATCAGCAGCCTGAGTAGAGATGATTGCCCTTATCAATTGAGGTGGGCATCATCTAATACATTATATCTTGAATAGAAGAAAAAGACAAAGGGGTATTTTCTTCCTGTTTGAAGTGGAGCATTCATCTTCTCTGCTCTCAGATATTAGTGCTTCTGCTTCTTGGGCCTTCAGACTCTGACTCATGTTTACATCATTCATCTCCTCCTTCCACTCCCATGGTTATTAAGCCTTTGGACTTGGACTAGGACTTACACCATCAGCTCCTCTGGTTCTCAGACTTTTGGACTTGGACTAAATTATACTACTGGCGTTTCTAGTTCTCCAGCTTGCAGATGGCAGATAATGGCACTTTTTGGCCTCATAAGCATATGAACCAATTCTTATAATAAATCTCATAAATCTCTCTGTGTGTGTGTGTGTGTGTGTGTGTGTGTGTGTGTGTGTATGTATGCATGTATGTATCCATCCATTGTATTGATTCTGTTTCTCTGAAGAACCTTGACTAATAAAATATTCATTAGGGATATTGGTTACTACTCTGTAGTTTTCTTTTCTTGTAGTATCTTTGTGTGGCTTTTGTATCAGCATATTCCTTGCCTCATAAAATAAGTTTCAAAGCATTCCTTCCTCCCAATTTTTTGGAGAGTTAGAGAAGGATTGGTGTCAATTTTTCTTTAAAAGTTTGGCGGAGTTGTCCTGTGAAGCCATCTAGTGTTGGGCTTTTCTTTGTTGGGAGGTTTTTGATTACTGATTTAATCTTAATAATCATAGGTCTATTCAAATTTTCTATTTATTCATGATTCAATCTTGATAGGTTGTATATTTCTAGGACTTTATCCATTTCTTCTAGGCTATCCAATTTGTTGGCAATGTAATTGTTCATAGTAGTCTCTTATGATCTTTTTTATTTCTGTGGCATTAGCTGTAGTGTCTCCTCTTTCATTTTTTAAATTTATTGTATTTTATTTTTATTATTCGGTTTTTGTTACTTAGTCTCTTTTAGTTAGACAAGTTAAGGGTTTGCCAAATATATTGATCTTTTCAAGAATCCAACTCTTAGTTCTGTTTATTTTGTATCACTTTTTCTATTCTGTTTCACCTTTTTCTGCTTTAATTTCTATTATTTACTTTCTTCAGTTAACTGTGAGTTTAGTTTGTTCTTATTTTCTTCTTACTTGCATAGTAACAAGAAGCTTGCATAGAAAATAAGTCAGGTTGTTGATTTGAGAGCTTTCTTTTTATTTAATGTAGGTGTTTACCACTACAAACTTTTCTTTTAGTATTGTTTTTGCTTCATACATAACTTTGGCATGTTGAGTTCTCCATTTCATTTGTCTCAAAATAGCATTTAACTTTCTTAGCGATTTTTTTCTTTGACTTATTGGTTGTTCAAGAGTATGTTTTTTAATTTCCACATACTTGTGTATTTTACAATGTTTCTTTTGTTATTGATTCTATGTCCATTTAATTGTAGTCTGAAAAAACATTTTATATGATTTCAATCTTTTCAAGTGTGTTAAGACTTGCTTTGTGACCTAACATCTTACCTATCCTGGAGAATGTTCTGTGAACTCTTGGAATAGTTCATTCACTGTTGTTGGGTAGAATATTCTCTATATGTTTGTTAGGTCCATTAAGTCTGTAGTGTTGTTCAAGTTCTCTGTTTCTTTATTGATCTTCTGCCTGGTTGTTTGACCTATTGTTGTAAGCGAGGTATTGAAATCACCTACTGTTAATGTGCTGCTGCCTATTTTCCCTTCCATTCAATATTTGCTTCATATATTTGGGTGCTCCCTTCTGGCCTATAGAATTTCTGCTGAATAAGTCACTGATAATCTTATGGGAGCTCCATTATATGTCATGAGTTGCTTTCTTCTTGGGGCTTTCAAGATAATTTTTTTTTGCTTTTCACTTTCAACATTTTGATTATAATGTGTCTAGCTGTGGGCCTCTGTGGATTCACCCTAGTTTGAACCATTAAGCTTACTGAATTTAGATGTCCATTTTCTTCCTCAGATTTGGAAAGATGTCAGATATTGTTTCTTCACATAAGCTCTTTGTACCCTTTCTCTTTCTCTTTTCCTCCTGGGACTTCTGTAATGTATATATTTTCCCACTTGACAGTACCCCATAAGTCCCATAGGCTTTTCTTCATTCTTTTTTCTTTTTGCTTTTCTGATGTGATATTATCAAATGAGGTCTTTTCAAATTCACTGATTTTTTTTCTTTTGCTTGACCATGTCTGCTGTTGAACTCCTCTAGTCAATTTTTTCATTTATTTGTTGTATTCTTCAGCTCCAGAATTTATGTCTGGTTCTTTTTAATAGTTTCTATCTCTTTATTGATATTCTCATTTTGTGCATTATTTTCCTGATTTTTAAGGTTTCTATCTATATGTGTTTACTTGTAGCTTGCTGAGTTTTATTTATTTTAAATTCTTTTTCAGGTAATGCATTGATCTCCATTTTTAGTGCTGGTTTCTGAATATTTATTTTGCTTCCATGATTGAGCCATACTTCCCTGTTTCTTCACGTGATTTTTTTTTTTTTTCTGAGATTTGGGTATTTGATAAAGTAGCCATCTCTCCCAGTCTTCATGGACTGGTTTCATACAAGAGAAGACTTTCACCTATCATCCCAGCTAATTATTCTGGGTACCTTTCAAACTTTTTGGGGGCATGCATTTTCTCTGGAATTGTGCATATAAATTTCCAATTAGAGATGTATGTTTGGTCCTTTTTCAGAATCTTGTAATAACTTGCTTCTTCTAGCACCTATCTGTGGTACTGTGGTTTCTCTGGTGCTTCCACAAACTCCAGAGCTCTCCTTTGTTCTTAGTGACCCCTAGGCATCCAAAGTATGCTATATCTCCATCACTGCTCTGAGTCAGGTGAGACAGAAACCAATTCCTCAGGCAGCCCCATGAAAAGCCAGAACATTGGATGTGTGTTCCCCTTTCTTTCTCTCTCCCAAGACAGAAGCTGTGTTTTGGGCATTTTTTCTTTATTGCACCAAGCTGTGCTGGTTTGTGGAGGGCTATCATGAATGAAATACAGTAGCTTTTCTTAATTGTTTCATTTCAGTTGTTCTTGGCTTGGTGCATGCCTGGGGTATGGCAACTTCTAAGCTGGTTTCTGAAGTCCTGGTAAAGCTTTTTGGCTAATATATTGTTATTAAGTTACTGTCTTAGTTGGAGAATTCTTCCATCTTACTACTGTTGTTCTGAAAGTTTGATTTCTTTACACAAACTCTGGACCATCCTGAGAATATTCCTTGAGATATAATGATAACTTGTGGGGAAAGTTTTGACAATGAATCTTACTCCTTACTTGGAATACAGACCTCACTTTTATTACTAAAATAATTATAGAAAACTCACTTATAGTTTTTAGTTATGAAGTATGTACAATACCTGTTACATAGATGGTGCTCAGTAAATATTTGATTCCTTCCCCTTTAAGAATAAAGTGTTTCAATGTAAACATAATTTCATTGCATTTTATATGTAGCAATCATTGAAAATACATAATTTAGAAATAATTTTTACTATAGTTTACTAATGATAGGTTAGCAAACTGAGAATTGTATCTTATTTTATCAAATGTGATAATTAGAATGTGAAATTTTCATTCGCAACTATGATGGTTAATTTATGTGTCAATTTGGGCCACGTGTATCCAGATATTTGAACAAACATTATTTTAAGTTTTTCTGAGAGGTTGTTTTGGGTGAGATTAACATTTAAATCAATAGACTGAGCCAAGCAGATTGCCCTTCCTAACATGGGTAGGCCTCATCTAATCAGTTAAAATCCTAAATAGGACCGAAAGGCTTCTCCCGCAAGTAATAAAATTTCTTCTGCCTAACATCAGTTTTTCTTGTGTCTTGATTCTGGCAACCTTTGAAGCAGAACTCTGCTGTTTCTTAGGCCTTTGAACCTGAACTGGAAGTACATCATCAGCTCTCTTGGGTCTCCAGTTTATCGACTCACCCTGAACATCTTAGGACTTTTCAGCCTCCATAATTGTATAAAACAGTTCTTTAGAATATCTATCTATCATCTATCTATCTATCTATCTATCTATCATCTATCTATCTATCTATGTATCTATCTATCTATCTATCTATCTATCTATCTATCTATCTATCTGTTTGTCTATCTATCTATCCTATTGGTTCTGTTTTTTTCTGGAGAACCCTGACTAAAGCACTCACCTAACATGCTGTGGTATGGAGAGCTTTCAAATAATGTTCATGATAATTAAACTAGGAGATATCTTACAAGGACCTATTTGAATTAGCTGGACATATTAATATATACTTAGGATAAGTGCTATGTGTTTCAGTAGTCTATTGGCATTATAAAGCTTTTCTATTATATATGTTTGTTGTTGTATGCAGAAAAATTTAAGACTATTTCTTAGGTTGTGATAACAATAAAGTTCAAGGATTGAGGGCAGTTACTTTCTTCCTTGTTATCTTATTATTATTTATACATATATGAACGGCACATGTATAATAGCAACATTTGAAAAAAATTCAAAGGTTCATGCTATTTCAATTTTTCTTTCTTTTACATTGTTAATCCTTATATTAAAAAATCAGCATCTTATATTTATTATTTTTCATGGATTACCAATAATTTAAAAAGTCAAGACTGCATAATGTTCAGATAATTGACTAGAATGTTTGTTGTAAGTAAATGTACATTGATACCCAGTGCAATTAAGCTAACTTCATGCCCTTGCTAGATTCTTAAGAGGATTTAACTGAACTATGCTCTATACAGAGAAAAAAATGGAAATAATAAACATCATTGTTTGCATTATAGACACAGGCTTAATAGTAGACAGAGGTTTTTCTCTAATTCTCTGGTAAGGCTATCTGTTTTGGAGTTTCATTTTATTTAATTCTTATCTAAAATATATATTTTAATTTTTTCCTGAAGTTTTGAAAATTTCTAAATTTTATAATAATTTAGACAGGCAATATTTTACCTAAAAACAGAATATATTCAAAGATACTAAATGTCAACAAAGACAAAAAATACTTTAAGAAAACCTGCTACTAATATTTGTGTTGCATTCATTCTTCTATCTAATTATATCCTTCTTAACCATTTCTTTCTCTAAGAAAATCCTTTAACAAGTGAAAGTAGCTACCATATAAAAAGTGAAATCACATCTAATTCAAATTTCAATCAGAGAAAAAAATCACATAATCTGATTAGTTCTTTATAGGTTTTCATGAATTGGTTAATTGTTAATCTGAGTGACAGTCATTGATTTTATTATCCAATAAAAAATTAAAAGGGCTAGAAGAAACAATGAGATCCAACTAATGTCAGAAATCTCCAAGCTAAAAGCCACCATGGCAACAAAATCATCTTCTAAAGAAAATGTCAGAGGCTGTACATATTTTATTTGATGAATTAATGTGGTTAACTAATATGGAAGAGAGAGACAACTGTTAGTAGTGCATTAAGAAATAACAGGGAGGAAAACACAAAAACCCAAAATAAGGAATGGAATTTTTAAGGCAAACTGGATCATAAGCCATAGTTAAATCATTTCTGTTTACTTAGTGCTACAGTTTATTCCATTTGCACAGCAGAATCACCATTTAAATATAAACTTATAATTAATGATTTAGACAACAAGAAAGAGAAGCTATGAAATCAAATCCAGATATGAAGTTTTCTGATGGAATTATTATAGATCAAGACCCCTACTATTTTGTACAATGTGGTACCATTTTAAACCTCAACCATAGTGTATTTCTCCAGTGAAGAAAATTAGAACACTTTTAGTAATATGATTTAAGTAGAATTTGATATTATTTAAACAAAGAAACTCCAAGTTGCACAGAAGAATTGACAGATTTTCACTGAATAGCAGACATCTAGTTTCCTGTAGTGAGGACTGCATACATCTTGCACATATATACATTGATTTTCTGGGGGAGGTCACTCAGAGATAAAATATATAACTCATTTTCCTGGAGTATTTATTTTACTTTGATATTTTGGAATAAATGTTCAATTTTTGCCACTTAAAAGTTTTTGTCCCATGCTTGAGCGAATAAAAATTGAGTCTTGTTTTTTCCCCCCATTTTAACTCTTCTGAAGAGATCTGCTTGGGTGTGTGAAAAAAAGAGAAAATATATGAGAGAGAGAGAGAGAGACAAAAAGAGAAAGGTAAGATAGAACATTTCGATGTACAATGAGAGATTTAAAAGTTTGATGCCTCTATGTTCTGTAAGAACTTGCTGTTATTACTACTGCATTCTTATCAAGGGTGAAAATGCCAAAGAATTTGAAGCCAACACCACTGACTCACACAAAAAGTGCAAATGTGCTGCCCTAGGAAGGAATGAGTTTGAAGAGGGAATTTCCTACCGTGTTCTGGAAGATTTCATGGCTTGGTGTTTGAAAAAATACTTTGACACATTACAAGCTAGTATTAATTTTTTAAATTCTGTAATACTTCTCATAAATCAGTTCAATTTTCTGCAACCATCATATTGCATCAGTATTTTGTTTATAAACTTAATTATCTAAGCTGGCTATTACTTCAGGTTCAAACTGATGTTTTTAATAGAAATACTGCTCAGGGGAGACCATAAAGAAATGTAAAAAAGTGGTACTACACACCTTTTCTTCCACCTTAACAACTGCTCCCTGAACACACACACGCACACACACACACACACACACACACACGCACGCACACTTGTGCCCATGTACACCTCTAATAAATTCTAACCCGAACAATTTTCCTGCTCATTAGAAATCACTACGTTAAGAGAAACTGTAGTCAATAACTGTAAGAAAACAAACATCCAATTTTGCAGGAAATGCACTTGAAGTCTTTCAGTTTGGGGTTTCTTTTTTGCAAGTATGAGAGAAAAATTGGCTACAAGAAACAATATAGTGGAAAGTGTAATCAAACTAGCAAACTGCTTGTTTTCTGAAGTGTCCCTCTAGGTTAGTTGAATTCTCTTACAATGTAAAGGTCATAGTGTCAGGTAAAATCTG
The DNA here is from genome assembly GCF_000001405.40 of Homo sapiens. Taxonomy (NCBI): domain Eukaryota; kingdom Metazoa; phylum Chordata; class Mammalia; order Primates; family Hominidae; genus Homo; species Homo sapiens. The sequence goes on along the minus strand of NC_000003.12, from coordinate 87,866,504 downwards.
GTGATGGCTTGTAGTACAGATAAAGACATATTTTAATATTTTCCAAAAGCCTTCTAAAGGAGCTAGTTGTTTTTCGGTCAAAGGATTTATAACTTTGCTTATGGGTGCATTAGAGCTAAGATAATTGCCTTGACTAGTCTCTCTCCATCAGGACTCTGAATCCAAAGTCATGCTCTGACTAGCAGCTCTAAATCCTACCTGAGCAGACATTCAGACCCTACCTCTGATGGGGCATATGTTCGTAGCACCTCAATACAAAATATTTGCTTTTGCATTTGAGTCCCTTATTTTAAGTATTCTAGTTGGTAATATTGAACAATTATTTGACACTTTCTTAGGACACTGGATTATTGATTTATGGAAATTATTTTACAAAATGTTTTTCATTTTCCTCATGGTTCTCACTGGTCCTTCTTTTAGAGAGAAAATGTCTGGGTTAAGGAGGCTAGGACAGAAAAACTTAGGACAGGAAAAATTTTCTGGCATTGCATCATAAAACAACTAAGTATTGGGAAGGATGTGGAGCAAATGAAACCCTCATTCATTGCTGGTGATTGATATCAACTTTTTGGTAAGCTGTTTGTCAGTATCAACTAAATCTGAACATATGCAAGCCCCATGTGCCAGCAGTTCCACTGGTAGATATACATGCAACATGAATTTATATAACACTAAGAGGCATGCACCAGAATGTTCACAGTAGTCTATCTGTAATAGTCCCATACCAGAAACAATCAAAATATCCACCAAGAGTAGAACAGATAAATAAATTATAATTTTTTATACTAGAGAATATTATACACTTGGGAGAAATGGGAGTAGTGTTAAAATGAATAAAGTTAAATGAATAAGCCATTGCTACATACAAACAATTTTTATGATTCTCACAAATACAATGCTGGGAGAAAGAAACTAGACACACAAAAAATTCATATTTATTGTGTATTTATATATAGTTCTAGAATGAGGAAAATTAAGTAGTGATGGTAACAGTCAGTCAAGATAATTATTAGCTTTAGGGAAGAGGGTTTATGGTGACTGGGAGATGGCATAAGGTGATTGTCGGTGGCACTGATAATATTCTATTTCCTGATCTGGTTGCTGGCTACTATGGTCTGTTTATCTTGAGAAAAATTCATCAAGTGGTACACTTGTTATCTGTGCATTTTTAATAATATATTTTAAATTTCAATAAAAATATTTTCCTAAAAATATCTGATAGCAAGAGAGACTGCATTAGGTACTAAGAGAGTTATTATGAAATAAAATGAGTGATAGAGGTGATGATGTAAGGCAAAAAAAACCACATTGTTCTATTGGAATTTGACGTATTGAAGCAAGTAAATAAAGTCACCAATAAGTTTTAAAATGAATATCAAGGCTTCTGTATGACTAAATAACTCAGATCAACCCTTAGACTAACCTTCATGCAGATGACAGTTATATTTTATCTTTGAAGAAAGACAAAACTTCCTGAAGGCAGTAGACAGTGTCAAAAAGCAGACAGATGCTGGAAAAAAATCAAAACATTGTAGAAGGGAATTATGCTAAATGAGTTTTCCAGATATATTGCTTTTCTTTTCTTTTCTTTTCTTTTCTTTTTTTTTTTTTTTGAGATGAAGTCTTGCTCACCCAGGCTGGAATGCAGTGGCTCAACCTCAGCTCACTGCAACCTTTGCCTCCCAGGTTCAAGCGATTCTCCTGCCTCAGGCTCCCAAGTAGCGGGGATTACAGGTGCTCACCACCGCAACCAGCTAATTTTTGTATTTTTAGTAGAGACGGTGTTTCACCATGTTGGCCAGGCTGGTCTTGAACTCGTGACCTCAGGTGATCTGCCCTCCTGGGCCTCCCAAATTGCTGGGATTACAGGCATGATCCACCATGCCTGACTGATATATTGCTTTTCAACTGATGACAGGCACCAGTCTTCATCTTGTAGGGGAGCTAAAACTCCAGTAGAATACCTACAGTCTTTCTAGATTGAAGAACCTGAGGACAGAGTTTGGGTCAACCATAGTCGCTGAATAATGTCAGATGAGATCCTGGAAATAACAGAACCTGTAAGGTAGGGCCCTGAATTCTATGTATAAATTCTAACAGTTTTCTGGCTGACCAGAACAACCCATATGTGGTGCAGACTCCTAGAAGTGTTATCTCACGCTAAAGGAGTGAACTGAGATTTGGGCTGCCACCATTGCAAGGAAGGTAGTTTGAACTTTAAACTGGCTATGGTAGGCCAAATAACGGCCTCCCAAACTGTCCATGTTCTAATGCCCAGAAACTGTGAATATGTTAAATTACATGAAAAAATGGAATTAAGGAAGCAGATGGAGTTCAGGTTGCTAATCATTTGACCCAGAAAAAGGGAGATTTTTCTGGAATACATGAGTGAGCCCAATGTAATCATAAGGGTCTTTAAATGTGGAGGATGGAGGCAGAAGTATCAGAGTGATACAGTATGAGAAAGACTAGACTAGCCATTGTTAGCTTTGAAGATGGAAGGTGGCATGAGTCAAGGAATGTGGGCAGCTTCTAGACATTAGAAAAGACAAAAAAGAATATATTCTGGGTTGAAGGTCTTCAGAAAAGAATGCAGTGTTGCCAGTGCATTGGCTTTAGCCCAGTGATAACCATTTCAAACTTCTGATGTCTAGAACTGTAAGATAAATATGCATTATTTTAATCCACTTAATTTGAAGTAATTTGTTACAAAACCCATAGAAAAGAATACAGATTTTTGTACTGGCAGTGGGCTGCTACTGTTACAAATACCTAAAGTGTAGAAGTGGCCTTGGAATTGGGCAATATATGAAAGATGGAAGAATTTTAAGGAGCATTATAGAAAAATTGATTTCCTTGAAAAGGCTGTTAGTAAAAATATGGATGTTAATAACCGCTAGGGAAAACTCAGAAGGAAATAAGGAACATGTTATTGGAAACTGGAAAAAAATAAATCCCTGATATATAGTGGCTGAAAATCTAGCAAAATTGTATTCTGCAGGTATATGGGAAGTAGAATTTGTAAGTAATTAATGTGGATATTTAGCTGAGGCTATCTCATCCAAGCAAATATCAAAACTGGGTTCTGATTTCTTCCTGCTTCTTACAGTAAATTGTGAGTGGAAACAAATAAAATGTTTGAAAAATCATTAAACAAAAAGGACTAGGGTTGGATCACTTTGGAAAATCTCAGCCTATCCAGATTGCAAGACACTAAAATTAAAAGATTAACTGTCAGGAAAACGTGCTCTGGAAACAAACCAACAAAACCCCCCCAAACTCAAAGCAAGTGAGGGTATGGTTGGACGACCTTTTGCTAATCCTTCAGAAAGATCATTAGGTCATAAAATTCATTCATATAAAAGGCTTTTTGAAAAAAGTAAGTATGTGGCCAGGCACAGTGGCTCACGCCTGTAATCCCAACACTTTGGGAGGCCAAGGTGGGTGGATCACTTGAGGTCAGGAGTTTGAGACAGCCTGGCCGAAATGGTGAAACCCCATCTCTACTAAAAATACAAAAATTAGCCAGTGGTGGTGGCACATGTTTGTAATCCCAGCTACTCTGGAGGCTGAAGCAGGATAATCGGTTGAATCTAGGAGGCAGAGGTTGCAGTGAACCAAGATCCTATGACTGCACTCTAGCCTGGGTGACAGAGTGAGTGACTGTGTCTCAAAAAGAAAAGAAAAGAAAAAAAAAGAGTAAGTACATGAGTCAGATTAGCCATTTCATCAGAAGTCAAAAATAGAAAAATTAAAGAAAAATGATCCATTATATATAGAAGAACACACAATTTCAATGATTGCAGACTTTTCATTAGAGACAGCGGAAGTCAGGAGAAACTAGACCATAAAGAGTGGGTTTCTAGAAAAGATCCATGGAAAAGACACGTGTCTAATGGAGTAAATTTGTGTGACATATATTGGAGATCCATGCATTGGTCTTGAAAACTTTATATCAGCAGAAACACTGCCAGTTTGAATTAAAAAGTACAGAAAGAATACAAAATAAAGGAATGCTGTTTGTCTCCCAAAATTCTGTAGGTAAGATACAAGATGGTAAAACTACTCAGCTTCAAACACTGTATTATCTTTCACAATAGGGAAGGATTGTTCATGAGGGTTCACTGATCCCAGAGGGTGGATTGTTAAATTATAGACAACTGTTTTCAGCTGTTAAAAACAAATGAAGTTTACTTGGTTGGATTTCAAAATTGCTTGAGATTGGTAACTTATCAACCAAGAATTCTATATCCATTGAAAATGTTCTTAAAGAGTGAAGGTAAATTAAAGCCATTTTCAGGTAAATGAAAACCAGTACATTTGCACTTCAGAAAAATGCAAAAGAACATTATTCTGGAAGATGGCAACTCAGACCAGATGATTCTTCAGGAAGGGATAAAGCACACTGGAAATGGTAAATATGTGGTTAAATATAAGAGGTTATTTTTCCTCCTTATAATTTGTTTAAAATATAAATAATTGCTTAGAGAAAAGTTATAACATTTGATTGTGGGATTTATAACATATTTAAATGTGATATACATGAATGGAATAAAGGATAAAGAAATAAATGGACCTACATGGCTATATGGTTTTGATATTTTATGTGCAGTGGTATAATATTAATTGTAACTAGAATGTGAAAAGTTAGGAATGTAATCCCTAGAGCACTTGTCTAACAATATTTCAAAGAATTATACCTAAAAAATAATAAAAATTAATACCAGCAAAAGCTTAGAAAAACACAAATTTATGTAAGTAGAAGAGCTATGGGAAGGAATTGGCCATCTAATTTTCATCATGCAATGAAAAAGAGCTATTTATGTGTTTTCTAAAATATTTATGAGCTCCAAGGCCTCAAACTTCAGCAAGAGAAATTTAAGTCATGTATAATAAGGACTGTAAGGCATGTTAAATATTGCTACTCTATACGAGCACAGAAAATGGCTTGTGTGTCTATTCTGGTAAAAGTCAATAATAATTGTTAGTATAATATATTTATGGAAATACAGTCCTTGTAAAAGCATAAAATGAATGTGGCAATAATTTTGATTTTGTTCTTCTAATTGAAGATTAGGGAAAATTGTCATTTTCAGGAGGTAAAGCTCTTCATCCTTACTTGTGGGGCCTCATTTTATAATTTAATTATTTAGGCTGTATTCAAAATGGATTTAGTATTCACAGTGATAGGAAGAGTGAACAAAATGTTCTTAGTGAGTAAATTTAATTCCTAGTAAAACAAGTGGAATCACCATCTCAACTTTTTACCGATGAACAAAATCCAAAATTGCATACTTTCTTAGATATAATTGTTTCCTATTTGATAATAATATTTTATTATATTTTTTGAGATGGGGTCTCACTCTGTGGCCCAGGCTGGACTGCAGTGGTGCGATCTTGGCTCACAGCAAACTCTGCTTCTCGGGTTCAAGCAATTCTCATGCCTCAGCTTCCCGTGTAGCTGGGACTACAGGCACCTGCCACCATGCCTGGCTTATTTTTGTATTATTAGTAGAGATGGTGTTTTGCCATGTTGGCCAGGCTAGTCTCGGACTCATGGCCTCAAGTGACCTGCCCGCCTCATTTCCCAAGGTGCTGGGATTACAGGCATGAGCCACTGCACCTGGCCTGTTGTTAATATTTTATATGTAAGTCAAAGTAAGTCACTTTGGCATTCTCTTTTGCAGTTATTTATTTGACTTCTCACTTACTAACAATGAGTCTAAGGATTTCTGAACACAAAATTTAAATATTCTAGTCATTATGCCATGTCCTTATGCAAGCAAATGAATGCTGAACTATGACTGAGATGAATTCAATGTACTTTTCTGATTCTAAGCCTCAACCTTAATAAAATAGAAAAAAAATGGATCTCTCACTATGTGTATTACTTCACTGATGACGAGAGGGAAAAATTTAATATAAAATTCAATATACACGTTAGTTTTTCAAATCAACTAAGAATGACTTTGAACCTAGAAAATAATAACAATTCATAGGGAAAAAATGTGAATGACAAAGGAAGCATGTCTGAATAAAGATGTGGCCTAGTGTCAGAGTTCTATTGAAAAAGGACAGTGAAATAATTCCCAACCCAACATAATGTTCTCTGCAAAAATACAATCCAGTGTATGTTATGCCTCAAATAGCAACAAAAACTACAACTCAGTGTGTCATGGTACAATGTGTTTACATATTATATTTATCAATTGCTATAGTAAGTTTTAAAGTATGTTTATTGCTTCCGATCTAGAAAAGAGAGTTGATTTTATAGTGACTTAATTTCATTTAAAACTTTCAATTTTCCACGTTAAAAATGCATATGCCACCTAGAATGTTATTAATGTAAAATGGTATATGCAGATTATGATACAGATTTCTCAGCAAAATTCTATATCTATGCAGAGTATTTTGAAATTTTCTAAGTAACCTTCAATGCCAAGGTGTATACTTTTCATAACTGGCCACTTTACATTTGTAGTGAAAATTAAATGCTCATGTTTCTGCCTTTTTGTTATTATTGTTTTTTATTTTTGTTTTGGAGTCTATTGGATTTCTAATAAGATATCAATTTAGGTCAAGGCATCAATATTCATGATTTTGATCTCTGGATGAAAATGCAGAGTGAAATATCTACTTTTTTTCCCCAGCTTTATTGAGGACTAGACTTGCAACCTGAAAGGAGACTGAACTTGCCTCAGTTATGATTTGGAATTTATTGGCTTTCATCAAGACATGGCCTAGGCTGAATGAATTAAGTTAAAACTTAGTGGTGTATGCCTTGTGAATGCAGCAAGAGGGAGGCTGAGCCACTGTGGAGAGCACACAGGCTCTGCCTAGGAAACCTCATGCTTCTCATGTGCTTGCCACACCAGATGTTGCACCTTCAGCAGCTTTTTAAGTTCATTGAGCATTGCTGAATCACAAGCAGTATGCCGGGCTGCTCCAAGGACACATAGGTAATATAAGTTCACTTCCTGAAATGATTACAATTTTGTTAATATGCTTTCATTGTGTGATCGTTCCTACAAAATTTGCTACTGTTTTGTGGTTCTACTGTAGAAGCAGCATTCTATTAGTACCTCATTCTTGTTGTTGTCTGCAGAGTGGCAAACTACATATTAGTAAACCAGCTGGTCTTCTTGTCCTATCCCCAGAACCCTGAGTCAGGACAATTTAGTAGTATGAAGTATTTTTTTAGACTGAGTGACTGTTACTTGAGACTAACACACTATAGTGATGAACAGCAACAATAAATTCCTGTGCCAAAACTTCTCTTTTTTAGTTTGTTTTAACTTCCTTTTTTGACACAGAGTTTCACTCTTGTTGCCGAGGCTGGAGTGCAGTGGCACGATCTTGGCTCACTGCAACCTCCACCTCCCAGGTTCAAGCAATTCTCCTGCCTCAGCCTCCCAAGTAGGCTGGGATTACAGGCATCTACCACCAAGTCTGGCTAATTTTCTGTATTTTTAGTAGAGACAGGGTTTCATCATGTTGGCCAGGCTGGTCTCGAACTCCTGACCTCAGAGGATCCACCCTCCTTGGCCTCCCAAGGTGCTGGGATTACAGGCATGAGCCAACACATCCAGCCCAAAATTTCTTAAACTCAACAAAGGAAATGCACTGGTGAAAAAGAAAACCATTTGTCTCAGATCTGTAATTTCTGCAGCCGGATTTGTAAAGGAACTAGAAACAATTTGACCCATTACAGAGGATGTGCTCACTTTCATGGTAAAGCATTTCTTTATCATTCTTAGTAAAGGTATCACACTTGCTTTTAGGCAAAAAGGAGGCTATATTCAGAAGGTTACACAAAAGATTCCATGGTAAAACAAAAAAAAAACCGAGAATATCCATTTATTTCAGATAAAATTAATTTTACAAGCAATTACAGGTGCTTGCAAGAATTGAATCAACCACATCCATAAATATAGTACTTTAGTCCCCCAAAATATAGGTACTGATTCTCAAGAAAGAGTTCATGTTGGACATGGGATTAGGATGAATCTATAAAAAGTAAACCATGGATAGGAAAAAGGTGAACTGATGTGAAGTGCATGCCACGTTGACAGACAAGCTCAAAATAACAGGTCTGTCTTCTCGGGCAAAACAATGTAACACGATGGCTGAGGGTGAAGTTTTTCTTGACCCAGTCCTAATATAGACAAGCTTCTGCAGACGTTCACAGGAAATCACAGGTCATGATGACATAGAACTATTCAGTCTTGGTCACACTTTGTACCCCTGAGTTATATAAAATTTTACAGTGCTCTATACATGCCTTTGCTCAGTAAAACTGTAGACTTTCACTCAACAGATTGGGAGTATTTATCAAGCCATAAACTCCTTTGTCTACAACAAATCACTTAAGATTTACTGAAAATAATTAGACCAGGGCCTGAGTTTGTGGGACTAGGGTAGAGAATAGATTATAATTCGCTTTCTCCTTTTACTGTTGCAATCCTTACCAAAGGACCGATAGAGTAATAATGCACTTTACCATTTTTCTTTATTATTATTAATTTTAACTTTACAGTGTAAGAATACTGAAGCAATTTAGTTGAAAAATAAAAATAATAGTGTTATTATTATCATATCTTGCCGTAGGCAGAATAAAACCTCCCCAAAAGTTCCATACTCGAATCCCCAGAGCCTGTGAATATGTTACCTTACATGGGGAAAGGGACTTTGCAGATGTGCCTTAATCCATAGAACGTACAACACCAAGAGTGAACCCTAATGTAAACTATGGACTCTGGGTAGTGATGTGTCAATGCAAGTTCATCAGTTGTAACAAATGTACTACTTCGGTGGGGAATGTTGCTAATGGGGGAGGCTATGCATATGTGGGGATATATGTGAAATCTCTGTACCTTCCTTTTCATTTTTCTGTGAGCTTAAAATTACTCTAAAAAAAAAGTCTTTAAAAAGACTTGGAATGGAGATCACGGACATTTAGAAGACATACTAAAATATCTTCTTTAAAATGAGCTATTTTCTGTTTTTCTATTTTGGGTCTATTTATTATGGAAAAATAATACTAGAACTATTCTTTCTTTGGAAGGTATTTGTCATATGTCATAAATCTGCATGACTGGCTTTAGATGGAAATATTAATTTTAAAAACATCTATTTCCTATTTTATATTCTTCCTATTCATTATTCTCTATACTTGGAATGCAAATTATAATGATTTAGTAATCTGTATTCTACTTTTTTTTACCATAATCAGATGTTTGGTAAGAATTTTTTTCTCTTAATTGGAAAATATTTTAATTTACTACAACATAAAAATATTTGTCAAGTTGTAGTTCTGAAAAACCTGAGACAGTTTTATCTGCTTGTCTCCATTCCACCTGATACTCATTGTGCTCTTCAAGCAGAAAAATAAAATAATAATAAATAATAAAATAATTTCTTGGTTTCACAGAACAGTCCTAGGTAGAGCCATATCATAAAGAAATACAACAAGAAATGAAAACACTAATAAGTCTGGGGAAATAACAGGATAACATAAGCTGTAACTCTGAAAGCATTGGCAGAATCAGTGGCAGCTGGTACACGTCATTTTTGCTAATAATGCCCAAGGACTGTGTTTTGAGATCTTCAGAAGGTTCACATTTAATGTGGGGCTCTACAGATTAGATTATATAAAAACAGGTTATATGCCTTTTATTTCATTCTTAGAGGTATGGATACAGGTTGTGCCATTTTCTGTAATACAAGATTTGTCTGAATGCACATATTTACATGGGCATACATTTAGGAAAAAAGTGTTTAGTTGTATATTCTGAAAAATTTTTCTAAATTTTATCTTTTTGGTTTAATAATTTTGCATTAGTGACTAACTGAAGGTTTGTCTTCCTCTGTACTGTTGGAAGAAATTCTTTACAAAAAGCAGTTGTGTTTTGTGCATGCCATAAAGAACAAGTAGGTATAAATGTCAAGTCAATATTACACAAGACAAGTAAGTATAAGCTATTTATGGGACACTTTAAACTTTCAAATTATGTTCAAATATATTTACTTCTACATTCCTCATTTTTTAAAAAATAAATAGACCATTTTTAGAGCAGTTTTGGGTTCACTGTAAAATTGAGTGTAAAGTGCAGAAATTTCCCATATGCTCGCTGGGAGTAAGTATACCTAATTTTAAAATGTTACTTTATTCTGATTACACAATAAGGATTCTGTCATCTCTTACTCATGAGGGATACATTTCAGTACTCCCAGTGGATTCCTGAAACCCTGGATAGTACTAAACCCTAAAAATACTGTTTTTTTCTATAAATAAATATCTATAATAAACTTGAATTTATAAATTAGGACCAGTAAGAGATTAATAGTAACTAATAATAAAATTGAAAAATTGTAACAATATATTATAATAAAGGTTATGTGAATGTGTTTTCTCTCTCAAAATATCTTTTTACTATACATCTTAGCAACCTTGAAATATAATTTTTTTCTTAAATCAAGAACTTTCACCTTTTTACTTAAAGGAAGCACTTCCTGGCTTCTCTTTGGTGAATCCCAATTGCCAACATCATTAATGTTGTGCTTTAGGGCCATTATAAAGAAAAATAAGTGTTACTTGAACACAAGCACTGTGATACTGCGAGAGTTAATCTAATACTGAGAGGGTTTGTGACTAATAGGCAGAAAGTGTGGACAGTGTGGATACGCTGGACAAAGGGATGATTCACATTCCTGAGAGGGACACAGCAGAATGGAGAGAGATTTTATCATGCTACTCAGAATGATGCACAACTTAAATCTTATGAATTGTTTGTTTCTGGGATTTTCCAGTTAATATTTTCAGACCATGTTAGGTTATGGGTAATTCACACCAGGCACAACGAAAACTGCAGATAAGACAGAACAACTGTATAAGTAATACAATGGACAGAGAAAAAAAATTCTAAAAATGTGGCCCCCTAATGCATCCCACTTTTCTCCCACTATCAATATCAAATTAAATTCATTCTCTTTGCTGAGTCTACCATTGAGACTTGCTGGGGGAGTTACAGAAAAAGCGACTGGAGGGTTTTCACCCTCTGTTTTGGAGAAAGGTGTGGAAAGCAGCCTTGGAGGCCTCTGGGATAAAGATCTGAACAAAGCTTTTTCTAGGAAGAGCTTGATCCATGAGGATCCCTGGATTATCAGGAAGAGGAAAAGATTAATATTATGGTAAAAGTTCCTCAGGTCTTCATGTTCTGTCTTTAGCAGGCCAAAGAGTAGTTAAACAGGTGAGAACTAAATTGTATCCCCACTTAAGCCTTCAAGAGCACAAGGGAACAGAGGAGCAGAGAGCTGCCTCCAGATGCTTTGGAAGGCTGACAAGTTGATGCTAATGTACACTGCATACAAGAGAAGATGCCATTGCACCATCCATTATTGACTGGGCAAGTGGAGCAAAAGCCCATTGAATATATGAAGAAATGTATATCATGTCTAAGTGGGGGGAAGATAACAATGAGAGAGAGACAGAGAACACACAACTAGGAAAGATGCTCTAATGAATAGATCTGCTTGAGGAGACATAAAGCAACCCGACCAAAAAACAGCAACAACAACAACAACAAAAAATATTTAAAACATTCAGGAACAAAACAATAACATTTCTAGAATGACAAACATAATTTTTGAACAAAAAGTTAATAGATATGAATGTCAAGACGAGTCTTAAATTAGTAGGCTGGAATGGAAGAGGAAGAATGTCTCGAACCACAAAACAAAAATGCAAAAAGAGTATACCAGTAGATTCAATTTCATCTGTTGCAAATAAATTTTTATGTTTTCTGACTATAATCAGTAATAATGAAAATACATTATTTTCAAATATGTTTTTCCAAATATTTCACTACATAGAATTTAAGAAGTACCACTGGCAATAACTCAGACAAAGGAGGATATCAAAACTGGCATTACATTTTTAAGAAATTAAGCACTTAATCTTTCACATCAGAATGAATGGAAAGCAACAAAAACTGTACTCAGAAACAAATATATAGCCACACCTACCCTAGGTATTAAAGAAGTCAGACTAAGAAATAATAAGTATTAGGAATAAAGATAGACAAAAAGGAATCAATGAAGATAAAAAATAAAATCAGTTATTTAGAAAAAAATCTTGGAAATAAAAACAGGTCTCAAATCTGATTCTTATAACTCAAAACAACTAATGAGGTAGATAAGACACAAATAAATACATTCAAGAAAACAGAAAATCAAAAATATAAAAAAAGAGAAAGGAGTCCTAAAACTGTAATTCTTTTAAATAGAAACACTAAAAGAATTTTCAGGGAATGCTACATGTAATATACTGGAAATGGGGTTAAAATTCTACATAAATAATTTTCTGTAAAAATAGAAATTACTAAGATGAACATAAGAAGAAACGAACAAAGTGAACAATTACTATAGAAATAAATGTAAAGATATTAAAATGATGACATTAAAAAGGTACCAGGATAACATAGATTTATAGCCAAATTTTACTGGCTTTTAAAAAGCAGTCATTCATGCATCTGACAAAGGTCTAATATCCAGCATCTAAAAGTAACTTAAACAATTTTACAAGAAAAAAATAAATAACCCCATTAAAAAGTGGACAAAGAACATGAACAGACACTCGTTAAAAGAAGCATACGTGTGGCCAACAACCATATGAGAAAAAGCTCAATATCCCTGATCACTAGAGAAATGCAAATCAAACCTACAATGAGATACCATCTCACACCAGTCAGAAAGGCTATTATTAGAAAGTCAAAAAATAACAGATGTTGGCAACGTTGCAGAGGAAAAGAAACGCTTATACACTGTTGGTGGGAGTGTAAATTAGTTCAACCCTTGTGGAAAGCAAAGACATCAAAGACCTAAAAACAGAAATACCATTCGACTCAGCAATCCCATGACTGGGTATATACCTAAAGGAATATGAATTGTTCTACTATGAAGACACATGCAGGCAAATGTTCATTGCAGCACTATTAACAATAGCAATGACATGGAATCAACCTAAATGCCAATCAATGATAGACTGGATAAAGAAAATATGATACATATATACCATGGAATACTATGCAGCTATAAAATGAAAAGATCATGTCCTTTGCAGGAACATGGATGGAGCTGGAGGTCATTATCCTTTTAGCAAACTAACGCAGGAACAGAAAACCAAATACTGCATGTTCTCACTTATAAGTGGGAGCTAAATGATGAGAACACATGGACAAATAGGAACAACACACACTGGGCCCTACTTGAGGGTGGAGGGTGGGAGTGGGAGTGGGGAGAGGATCTGGAAAAATAACTAATGGGTACTAGGCTTAATACCTGTGTGACAAAATAATCTGTACAACACACTCGCATGACATGAGTTTATAACAAACAAAGAAACTAGCGGAGTGGGAGTCTATAGAGTGAAAATCTGAAGTCTAAGCACATATTATAAAATCTATCGAGAGGAATTGATCTGAATATTTAAAAAGCCTAATGAAATAAAATAGAAAACATTAGAGCAAAAAAAAAAAACAGCCACTACAATGTTAGTTAAACCATGTCAGATTATAGAAAACTATAAAACTTTATTGAAGGACGTAAAAATATGAACAATGAAATATTCTGATTTTTTGAGGGAAGTTTATTGCAATTAGAATCACAATAAGTTTTAATATTTTGTGGTTTAAAACACATAAAACAAATTTCTCACGGAAGAATAGATGTCTAAGAATAGCCAAGTGAACACTGAAAAGAAGATTACTAAGGGAGGATTTGATTTAGCAAATAGCCCATATTAAAAACAGATCATACAGCTGTAGCAGAAAAACACCCACATGGCACATGTATACATATGTAACAAACCTGCACGTTGTGCACATGTACCCTAAAACTTAAAATATAATAATAATAAATTTAAAAAATCTACAAATTGCTTGCAGAATACATGAAAACTTAATGTATGACACAGGCAATAAGAATTTGGTAGGAGAAAATGTGATTTATTTGATAAATATATCTGGGTATTATTTCAGGATAAAACTAAGTTGAACCTCTACTTCATATTATATGCAAAATAAATTCCAAATGAATTAAGAAATAGCAATTTTAGAAATAAGCCATGGAGGCTACATCTAAAATCTGGGAATGAACAAGATTTTCTAAAACAGGAACAGAAATGCATAAACTATAAAACAGATATAAAGAATTCTTGATACAAAATTTGTAATGAAGATGATAAAAGCTAAAATCCAATAAAAAATAGTTAACAAATTGATAAGAAGAAGATAAAATGCAATGAAAACTTGGGCAAAAAACTATGGGTAATCATTTTATTCTAGAGAAAGTTCAAAGGCCAATAAACATAAAAATATAATGAAATTCATATTAATCAGGGAAATGCCCATGAAAGTATCAATAAAATACTATTTCATAGTCATCAGACTGGCAATAATCCTTATTGCTAGTGGGGATGTTTGGAAAAATAGAGTCTCAGCTATTGCTGGTAGAAATGTACATTCTTTTTTTTTTTTTTTGGCTTGGATGTTATATTTATTTTTCAAAATAGCAAAGTAAATTAAACTGTTATTTTCATTTAACCCATTTCCTGTTTGCTCTGAGAATACTTTTACTTCTAATCCTAATGTAACATCATATATAAGAAATGTACATTCTTATAGGTTTTTTGACAGGAAGAAAAACTTAGCACTACTTTATTTCAAAAAATACATATGGTTAGGCCTGGTAATGCTAATCCTGTAAACCTATACCATAGCAATTAAAAGCATCAATTCATTAGGATAGATGTTCAGGGATGTTAACTGCCTCATTGTAAAAAGAATGTCATAGAGGAATAGTTGGATTTATTATGGCATATCAACAGCATGGAATATTAGACTGTCATTAAAAAGATTGAGTTAGCATAGTTGGCCTGAAAAGTCCCATGAAATAGCATTAAGCAATAAAAGTAAGATGCAAACAGATGCATATAAATATATTTTCAAAAAGCTAATAAAGCCCCTATATATGTAAGAAATTATATAAGCAAATTTTTATAGATTACCATCTGGGAGTGAAAATAAAATGGCTAAATGGTTATCAGATTGAATGAAAGTTTAAAAAAATAGTAGTTAAAAAAATACACATGACTTGCTTCCATTTCAGTAAAATGGAAGCAAAGTCTGTGCAAATAATATATACATAAACAATTTGAATAGTTATACAGAATCAGATCTATCTGCTTCTTAGGTGATCATGATAAACTGTTAAGTGAAAAAAGAGAATTGCAAAATAAAGAGCATAATAAAATTTTGGTAAAAGAAGCTAGAAACTAATGTTTAAATATGTATAGTTTTGTAGCACCCAGAAGAAAAATGTGGAAAGATGCACCCAGGCTTGTTAACATTTTTACTTCAGTGGGACAAAAACAGATATAGGTGGTGGGATGGCAGGTAGCAATGGTTAACTCTGCATTTAAACATACTGTCTTGTTACTCTTATTATAAAACAACCAAATAATAACAATTTTTAGAAAGACAGTACTTATATATTATAGTATAGACAACTATAGAAAATTTAGGTAAATAAAAAACTGTGATGAAGAAAACAAAAATCACCTAATTCCAGAAGAGAGCAATACCTGTTGCTAGCATTAGTTTTGGTAAACTTTCCCTAGGTTTTTTTTTTTGTTGTTGTTCCTAAATACAATTAAATCTGCATACAAACTTTATATATGCCATTTTCATGATCAGAGTTCATATGTTTTTCTTTATGATTTGTGCTTAATAAAATATAAATTTTTCTATATTAATTTTTGAAAATATTTCTATTGACATACTTAATTTTTGAATATATCATAATTTTTAATTTGCTAAATAACTTTCTCACTTTTTTTATTATTATACTTATGTTTTAGGGTACATGTGCACAACGTGCAGGTTTGTTACATATGTATACATGTGCTATGTTGGTGTGCTGCACCCATTAACTCGTCATTTACATTAGGTATATCTCCTAATGTTATCCCTCTCCACTCCCCCCACCCCACAACAGGCCCCGGTGTGTGATGTTACCCTTCCTGTGTTCATGTGTTCTCATTGTTCAATTCCGACCTATGAGTGAGAACATGCAGTGTTTGGTTTTTTGTCCTTGCGATAGTTTGCTGAGAATGATGGTTTCCGGCTTCATCCATGTCCCTACAAAGGACATGAACTCATCATTTTTTATGGCTGCATAGTATTCCATGGTGTATATGTGCCACATTTTCTTAGTCCAGTCTATCATTGTTGGACATTTGGGCTGGTTCCACGTCTTTGCTATTGTGAATAGTGCCTCAATAAACTTACGTGTGCATGTGTCTTTATAGCAGCATGATTTATAATCCTTTGGGTATATACCCAGTAATGGGATGGCTGGGTCAAACGGTATTTCTAGTTTTAGATCCCTGAGGAATCACCACACTGACTTCCACAATGGTTGAACTAGTTTACAGTCCCACCAACAGTGTAAAAGTGTTCTTATTTCTCCACATCCTCTCCAGCACCTGTTGTTTCCTGACTTTTTAATGATCATCATTCTAACTGGTGTGAGATGGTATCTCATTGTGGTTTTGATTTACATTTCTCTGATGGCCAGTGATGATGAGCATTTTTTCATCTGTCTTTTGGCTGCATAAATGTCCTCTTTTGAGAAGCGTCTGTTCATATCTTTCGCCCACTTTTTGATGGGGTTGTTTGTTTTTTCTTGTAAATTTGTTTGAGTTCATTGTAGATTCTGGATATTAGCCCTTTGTCAGATGAGTAGATTGCAAAAATTTTCTCCCATTCTGTAGGTTGCCTGTTCACTCTGATGGTGGTTTCTTTTGCTGTGCAGAAGCTCTTTAGTTTAATTAGATCCCATTTGTCAATTTTGTCTTTTGTTGCCATTGCTTTTGGTGTTTTATACATGAAGTCCTTGCCCATGCCTATGTCCTGAATGGTATTGCCTAGATTTTCTTATAGGGTTTTTATGGTTTTAGGTCTAACATGTAAGTCTTTAATCCATCTTGAATTAATTTTTGTAGAAGGTGTAAGAAAGGGATCCAGTTTCAGCTTTCTACATATGGCTAGCCAGTTTTCCCAGCACCATTTATTAAATAGGGAATCCTTTCCCCATTGCTTGTTTTTCTCAGGTTTGTCAAAGATCAGATAGTTGTAGATATGCGGCATTATTTCTGAGGGCTCTGTTCTGTTGCATTGATCTATATCTCTGTTTTGGTACCAGTACCATGCTGTTTTGGTTACCGTAGCCTTGTAGTATAGTTTGAAGTCAGGTAGTGTGATGCCTCCAGCTTTGTTCTTTTGGCTTTGGATTGACTTGGCAATGCGGGCTCTTTTTTGGTTCCATATGAACTTTAAAGTAGTTTTTTCCAATTCTGTGAAGAAAGTCATTGGTAGCTTGATGGGGATGGTAGTGAATCTGTAAATTACCTTGGGCAGTATGGCCATTTTCACGGTATTGATTCTTCCTACCCATGAGCATGCAATGTTCTTCCATTTGTTTGTATCCTCTTTTATTTCATTGAGCAGTGGTTTGTAGTTCTCCTTGAAGAGGTCCTTCACATCCCTTGTAAGTTGGATTCCTAGGTATTTTATTCTCTTTGAAGCAATTGTGAATGGGAGTTCACTCATGATTTGG
This sequence comes from Homo sapiens, assembly GCF_000001405.40. Lineage (NCBI taxonomy): Eukaryota > Metazoa > Chordata > Mammalia > Primates > Hominidae > Homo > Homo sapiens. The sequence goes on along the minus strand of NC_000003.12, from coordinate 87,848,828 downwards.
CTCTCCGTTTGTCTGTTATTGGTGTATAAGAATGCTTGTGATTTTTGCACATTGGTTTTGTATCCTGAGACTTTGCTGAAGTTGCTTATCAGCTTAAGGAGATTTTGGGCTGAGATGATGGGGTTTTCTAGATACACAATCATGTCATCTGCAAACAGGGACAATTTGACTTCCTCTTTTCCTAATTGAATGCCACTCATTTTTAAACATTTAGATTATTTTATTGTTTTTGTAATTCTAAACATCTTGTACCTAACATTTATATAAAGAAAATGCATCCTATATATATTATTTCAAATGCTAGACATATAAAGCTCAATAACCTAAAAAGCTTCTGCACAGCAAATGAAACAATAGAGTGAAGAGACAACCTCTTGAAGGGGAAAAAATTTGCAAATTACTTGTTCCGCATGGAATATCCAAAATGTACAAGGAATTCCAACAACTCAACAGAAAAAAAATCCCACTAAAAAATGGGCAAAAGGGCAAAAGACATGAATAGACATTTCTCAAAGAAGACATACAAACAGCCAGCAGGTATATGAAAAAATGCTCAGCATCAGTAATCTCCAGGGAAATGCAAATCAAAACCGCAATGAGCTATCATCTCACCCCAGTTCGAATGGCTATTATCAAAAAGACAAAATTTAACAGATGATGGCAAGGATGTGCTGAAAAGGGAACTCATACACTGTTAGTGAGAATGTAAACTAGTACAGCCACTGTGGAAAACAGTATTAAGATTTCTCAAAAAACTAAAAAGAGGCCTACTATACAGTCCAGTAATCTCACTGCTAGGTATTGATTATCCAAAGGAAAATAAATCAGCATATCAAAGAGATGTCTGTACTCACATGCTTATTGCAAAGATATGGAATCAACGTGTCATCAGTGAACAAACGCATTTAAAATGTGGTATATATGCACAATGAAATATTCAGCCATAAAGAGCGCAGTCATGTCATGTGCAGCAATATGAATAGAACTGAAGGTCATTATGTGTAAGTGGAATAACCTAAGCACGGAAAGACAAATACTGCCTGCCTTCCCTCACATGTGGGGACTAAAAATCTTGATCTTATGGATACAGAGAATAGAATGATGGGTACCAGAGACTTGGAAGGGTGGGCGAGGGCAAGAGGAGAATAAAGAGAGGTTGGTTACAGGCATAAAGATATCATTAGATAGAAGAAATAAGTTCTAGTGTTTTGATAGCAGACTAGAATGACTATACTTAGCAATAATATTATGTATATTTCAAAGTAACTAGAAGAGAGGAACTTGCAATGATATCAGTGTAAAAAAATAATAAACACCCAAGTTAATGGATACCCCAAATACCTTGATTTGGTCATTACATATTCTATGCATGTAACAAACACTCACATGTACTCCCATAAATATGTAAAATATTGTCTATCAATACAATAGAAAATATAGATATATAAAATTTTCAAAAATAATTCCTGGAGGTGTAAGTCTTCAGTTCAAGCTGTAGAATTTTTAAATGTAATTGATATATATTGTCAAATAGAACCCTAGTAAATTTGTGACAATTAACCCATCTGCAAAAATATAAGATTAAAGTGCCTCTCTCAAAGCATCACCATTATTATTCACAAATCTTTGCTAATTTGGAAGGCTAAATTTAAAAAATAGTTCATCAATCTTTTAATTTGCATTTCTTTGATTTTTAGTGAAACTGTACATTTTTATATGTTGAATGATCATTTATGTATATTTTATTTTATGAATTTTTTATTTTCCCCATTTTGTATTTAAATGTTTGGGCTATTTTTGTTTTTATTTTTCCCCAATATATCTTAAAAATAGCAATAATATATTTATCTACAAAAATGGATACTTCTGAATATACTTGCCATAAAATTATTTTAATTTTAATTAAAGCTAATTAAGGGTAATTGACCATAAAGCAACATTTCACTGTCTGCTAGAAAATTTCTATAAAACTATAAAATTCAACTCCAGCAGGAAAAACTTGAAATTTTCTTTCAAAAGCTATAAATCTTATGTAACTAAAATACAATGACTATCTTTAAAGAATTTGTACTTAAACAAGAAGTTGTTAATTCAAACTTTATTCTCAACAGAAGCAACTTATTATATTACCGAATAGTGTCCTCTTCCCAGTTCCAGCACTGCAAGCCATTACTCAATTGTGGAAATAACACTGAATTTGTAGCTCAAAACAAACAAACAAACAAACAAAAAAATTGAAATGCTGACTATGTTGCTATCTAGCTGGGTGATTTGGAAAAGTCTTTTGTCTTTTTATGAGCCTTATTTTTCTCATTTATTAAATGATAAAGTTGTATAAAGTTGGTATTCTATTTCAGTTATCCGCTTTGTGTTCATAATATATTTTTTTTTTGAGATGGAGTCTTGCTCTGTCACCCAGGGTGGAGTGCAGTGGCACAATCTTGGCTCACTGCAACAACCTCTGCCTCCCAGGTTCAAAAGATTCTGCTGCCTCAGCCTCCGAAGTAGCTGGGATTACAGGTGCTTGCCATCACACCTGGCTAATTTTTTGTATTTTTAGTAGAGACAGGGTTTTGCCATGTTGGCCAGGCTGGTCTTGAACTGCTGGCCTCAGGTGATCCACCTGTCTCAGCCTCCCAAAGTGCTGGGATTACAGGCGTGAGCCACCGCACCCGGCCCATACTACTTTTATAGTTTTATATAACTATGTGTTTTTTTAATTATCTGTTTACTCTCTTCCCTACAAGAATCTCAGATCCACCTGAGTAGGAAATTTGGTTTACTGCTTATCCCTAGCCCTAGAAGATGGCTAGCACATAGTGAGTGTGCCATCAAAAAATTTCTAAAGAATTGCCTGTCTGTTGTGTGCTAAGTACTAGGATTTGATGATGACTAAAATCCATGCTCCTAAGGAATTTACAATCCAATGGACAAATTTGTGAGTGAAAACACCAAAATAATATTTGCAGAGGAAAATATATATTCCATAAAATATATTGACTCAAATAATGACAACTTGAGCAATGCATGGTAATAGCGAGTTTTTGTTGTTGTTTTGTCAGTTTGTTTACTTTGGTGTGGTAAGACAGAACTTGTGCCATGTCTTGTATTTGAAAAAGAAAGTCATTGGTAGCTTGATGGGGATGGCATTGAATCTGTAAATTACCTTGGGCAGTATGGCCATTTTCATGATATTGATTCTTCCTACCCATGAGCATGGAATGTTCTTCCATTTGTTTGTATCCTCTTTTATTTCCTTGAGCAGTGGTTTGTAGTTCTCCTTGAAGAGGTCCTTCACATCCCTTGTAAGTTGGATTCCTAGGTATTTTATTCTCTTTGAAGCAATTGTGAATGGGAGTTCACTCATGATTTGGCTCTCTGTTTGTCTGTTGTTGGTGTATAGGAATGCTTGTGATTTTTGCACATTGATTTTGTATCCTGAGACTTTGCTGAAGTTGCTTATCAGCTTAAGGAGATTTTGGGCTGAGACTATGGGGTTTTCTAGATATACAATCATGTCATCTGCAAACAGGTACAATTTGACTTCCTCTTTTCCTAATTGAATACCCTTTATTTCCTTCTCCTGCCTAATTGCTCTGGCCAGAACTTCCAACACTATGTTGAATAGGAGTGGTGAGAGAGGGCATCCCTGTCTTGTGCCAGTTTTCAAAGGGAATGCTTCCAGTTTTTGCCCATTCAGTATGATATTGGCTGTGGGTTTCTCATAGATAGCTCTTATTATTTTGAAATATGTCCCATCAATACCTAATTTATTGAGAGTTTTTAGCATGAAAGGTTGTTGAATTTTGTCAAAGGCCTTTTCTGCATCTATACAAGCCAAAAGAACAAAGCTGGAGGCATCACACTACCTGACTTCAAACTATACTACAAGGCTACAGTAACCAAAACAGCATGGTAGGTACTGGTACCAAAACAGAGATATAGATCAATGGAACAGAACAGAGCCCTCAGAAATAACGCCGCATATCTACAACTATCTGATCTTTGACAAACCTGAGAAAAACAAGCAATGGGGAAAGGATTCCCTATTTAATAAATGGTGCTGGGAAAACTGGCTAGCCATATGTAGAAAGCTGAAACTGGATCCCTTCCTTACACCTTATACAAAAATTAATTCAAGATGGATTAAAGACTTAAACGTTAGACCTAAAACCATAAAAACCCTAGAAGAAAACCTAGGCATTACCATTCAGGACATAGGCATGGGCAAGGACTTCATGTCTAAAACACCAAAAGCAATGGCAACAAAAGCCAAAATTGACAAATGGGATCTAATTAAACTAAAGAGCTTCTGCACAGCAAAACAAACTACCATCAGAGTGAACAGGCAACCTACAAAATGGGAGAAAATTTTCGCAACCTACTCATCTGACAAAGGGCTAATATCCAGAATCTACAATGAACTCCAACAAATTTACAAGAAAAAAACAAACAACCCCATCAAAAAGTGGGCAAAGGACATGAACAGACACTTCTCAAAAGAAGACATTTATGCAGCCAAAAAACACATGAAAAAATGCTCACCATCACTGGCCATCAGAGAAACGCAAATCAAAACCACAATGAGATATCATCTCACACCAGTTAGAATGGCAATCATTAAAAAGTCAGGAAACAACAGCTGATGGAGAGGATGTGGAGAAATAAGAACACTTTTACACTGTTGGTGGGACTGTAAACTAGTTCAACCATTGTGGAAGTCAGTGTGGCGATTCCTCAGGGATCTAGAACTAGAAATACCATTTGACCCAGCCATCCCATTACTGGGTATATACCCAAAGGACTATAAATCATGCTGCTATAAAGACACATGCACACGTATGTTTATTGCAGCATTATTCACAATAGCAAAGACTTGGAACCAACCCAAATGTCCAACAATGATAGACTGGATTAAGAAAATGTGGCGCATATACACCATGGAATACTATGCAGCCATAAAAAATGATGCGTTCATGTCCTTTGTAGGGACATGGATGAAATTGGAAACCATCATTCTCAGTAAACTATCGCAAGAACAGAAAACCAAACACCGCATATTCTCACTCATAGGTGGGAACTGAACAATGAGATCACATGGACACAGGAAGGGGAACATCACAATCTGGGGACTGTTGTGGGGTGGGGGAGGGGGAGGGATAGCACTGGGAGATATACCTAATGCTAGATGATGAGTTAATGGGTGCAGCACACCAGCATGGCACATGTATACATATGTAACTAACCTGCACAATGTGCACATGTACCCTAAAACTTAAAGTATAATAATAAAATAAATAAATTAAAAAAAAAAAAAGAAAAAGAAAGTCAGGATGGTGAAGGGCCAGTGGTAGGTTTATGTGGTATCTATGGCAAGAAATTTATGTTTGCTCTCAAGTTACTTCAAAACAACATGTATGATATAAACATCTGACATAATTATAAAGTGCACTCAGGAAGAACACTGCTCACATTTAATATCTTAGAATGCAAAATATAAAATATTTAATAACATCATGAACAGAATGCAGCAAAGCATATCAATGTTGTCTTTGCTAAAATACAGTTAAAATAATTTGAGCCTATGTTATTAAGACCACTAGCATAAACAAAAAGATTTTACAGATTACCTTCATTTTGCTTTTATTAATATTTTTGTTTCTGAGATTGTTTTTGAGTGGTTTAGGTTACAATGTCTTATAGGAAATGTGTAGCATCATTCCAGATGCAGAGGTACAGATAAAACCTCAGCGGCTTCAATTGCATGGGTCCACTTGAAAAATGGACTTTGCATGCTTTGAAGATAGAGGTCACACAAGCTTGTCCGAACTGGGAAACCTTTATCACAACACTGTCCTTTACCGAGACCTATCTACAGCATGTATAAAGTGTGTCCTTTCAAACCTGTAGTTGAATGTGTGTCTGTTGTTTTATCGTTCTTAGTGGCATTTTACAGCTTTTAACAATTACTTGATTCTGATCTCTGATCGAGGAAAATCTGTTTTTTCCTGGGGCAGTTCCTCACATACTAGAAATGAAGTGCCAAAAGGTTGTTTTATAAAAAGCAAGTCTTAAACAGTTTTCTGGTTTGTAATCTGTAGAGATTTCTAGTCTCTTGTTTCTCCTCCAGAAATTTGGATACTGTTTTACATTAGAAATTGTAAAGCCATCATATATGTGGTAATATTTCATTATAATTTCTATGACTTTAACAATTTAGTACTTGTCATTATTTAAGACGGTTTTTTTCCCCAGGAAATTATTTTATTGAAACTTAATCCTAGATATTTGAAAATCTAATATAGCTCGTGAGATGTTTCATAACTCATCTCAATGTGTTGAGTCTCTTTATAAAAACTATTGTTTTGGCCGGGTGCGGTGGCTCACACCTGTAATCGCAGCACTTTGGGAGGCCAAGGTGGGTGGATCACTAGGTCAGGAGTTCAAGATCAGCCTGGCCAAGACAGTGAAACCAAGTCTCTACTAAAAATACAAAAAAAATTAGCCGGGCGTGGTGGTGGGCGCCTATAATCCCAGCTACTCGGGAGGCTGAGGCAGAGAATTGCTTAAACCCGGGAGGTGGAGAATGCAGTGAGCTGAGATCAAGCCACTGCACTCCAGCCTGGGCAACAGAATGAAACTCTGTCTCAAAAAAACAAAACAAAACAAAAAAAGCCTATTGTTTTGAGTTGCTGAATTGCTAATGTTCAGAGATTTTTCATTTTCCAGAAGAATAAGTATACAATGTAACCTTAATGGGAATGAAGAAATTCTTTTCCAATCTAATCAACTTTTAATTTCAGGAAGAGAGGGGAAAAACGTTACTAGGAGTGAAGTCTAAGCAGAAGCTCTTGGGAAATCTTCAAAAGACGAAATTTATGTTAGTTTAGTTTTTTTTTTTTTTTCTTTTTCTTTTTTTTTTTTTTTTGAGACAGAATCTCACTCTTGTTGCCCAGGCAGGAGTGGAGTGGCATGATCTCAGCTCACTGCAATCTCTGCCTCCAGGGTTCAAGCGATTCTTCTGCCTCAGCCTCCTGAGTAGCTGGGATTACAGGAGCGCGCCACCACGTCTGGCTAATTTTTGTATTTTTAGTAGAGATGGGGTTTCACCATGTCGGCCAGGCTGGTCTCGAACTCTTGACCCCAGGTGATCTGCCTGCCTCAGCCTCCCAAAGTGCTGGGATTACAGACGTGAGCCACCGCACCCAGCCCTATGTTAGTTTAGTTTTTAAGGTCATTGAGCTTCACAGAAATCTAGAATTTCAAATAACATATAGACGATGCATTTTCTTTAAACTAGTTGCTCCACTGACTAGAGTTCCCAACCCCCTTGCACTTTCATATATTTGTTAATACAATTAGTGGGAGAATGGATTAATATTTTAGTTCCTGTTAAACATATAATGCAATCGTAAGTAAAAAAGAATATTCGCTGCCAGATTTGATTAAAAGGATTGATTAATAATGGGAATTTCAGGGACTAAGAAAATCCTAGAGAAGTTTTGCTTTAATGTTTACAAGAGACTCTATTTTTTATTTATTAAATTTTTAAGAGTTTTATTTTTAATTGACAAATAATTTTGTCATATAATAATTTTGTTAATACTTGACAAATAACAATTGATAAATAATTATATATTTATGGGGTACAGTGTAATGTTTTGCTATGAGTGTATGATGTAGAATGATTAAATCCGGCTAATAAGCATATGTATGATCTCAAATATTTATCATTTCTCTGTGCCAAGAATATTTAAAATCCTTTCTTTAAAATAAACAATACAAAATTATTAATTATATTTTCTTTGCTGTGCAATGAAACGTCAGAACTGTGTCTCTTATCTAACAGTAGCTTTGTACCCACTGACCAACATCTCCCCTTTTCCCGTCCACACTCTCTTCAGAGCCACTGGTAACTGTCTTTCTATTTTCTACTTCTATGAGTTCAATGTTTTTATATTCCACATACAAGTGAGATGATACAGTATTTGTCTCTCTGTGCCTGGTGAATTTAACTTAACATAATATCCTCTAGGTTCAGCCATGTTGTTGCAAATGACAGAATTTCCTGTGTTTTTAAAGCTGAATAATATTTTATTGCATATATACATCACATTTTAAAAATATTCATCTAATGATGAACAATATTGAGCTATTGAGAATAATGCTGCAGTAAATATGGGGGTGTGGATATCTTTTCAGCATATTAATTTCAAGTACTTTGGGTATACTCCAGTAGTGGGATTGCTGGATCATATGTTAATATTATTATTATTATTGTGGGAAGCTTTGTACTGTTTTCCAGAATGGCTGTGCTAATTTACAATACCACCATCCCTGTATAAGTGTTCCCTTTTCTCTACAGTATAAAGCTTCCCTTTTCTCCACATTCTCACCAACGTTTATTTTCATGTTTTTTATAATAGCCAATCTTACAGATGTGAGGTGATGTCTCATCGTATTTTTAATTTGCATTTCTCTGATAATTGCAGTTGAGCATTTTTCCATATATCTGTTGGCCATTTACATGACTTCTATAGAAAATATTCACAAACTATGCATCTGACAAAGGTCTAATATCCAGGATCTATAAGGGTCTTAAACAAGTCAACAAGCAAAAAAGAAATAACCCTATTAAAAAGTGAACAAAGGACATGAACAAACACTTCTGAAAAGAAGACTCAGCAACCCTGTTACTGGGTATACACTCAAAGGAAAATATATCATTCTACCAAAAAGCCATATGCACCCATTTATTCATCACAGTGCTAATCACAATAGTGAAGGCATGGAATCAACCTAAGTTTCCATCTGTCCATCGGTGGTAGGTTAGATAAAGAAAACGTGGTAGATATACACTATGGAATACCATGCAGCCATGGAAAAGAATGAAATCATGTCCTTTGCAGCAACATGGATGCAGCTGGAAACCATTATCCTAAGCAAACTAATACAGAAATAGGAAACCAAATACTGCATGTTTCCACTTACAAGTGGGAGCTAAACGTTGGGCACACATGGTCATAAAAATAGGAACAACAGACACTGGAGAATACAAGATGGGGGAGAGTTGAAAAAAACTACCTATTGGTTACTATGCTAACTACCTGGGTGACAGATTCATTTATACTCCAAACCTCAGCATCACACAATATACCTTTGTAACAATCATGTACATGTACTTCCTGATTCTAAAATAAAAGTTAAAAGTGAAAAAAAACAAACAAAAAATTCCAATGACTTTTTTTAAAGGAAAATATCCTAAAATTTGCTTACAATCACAAAAGACCCCAAATCATCAAAGCAATCCTGAGTGAAAAGAGCGAAGTAGGAAGCATCACACTATCCAACATGAAAATATATTACAAAGCCATAATAATCAAAACAGCATGGTACTGGCATAAAAACAGACACACAGAACAATGGGACAGAATACAGAACTCAGGTGTAAATCCATACATTTTTGATAAAGTTGCCAAGAATACAAACTGAGAAAAGGGAAGTCTTTTCAGTAGATGGTGGTGGTAAAACTGGACATCTACATGCAGATGAATGAAATTAGGCCCTTATCTTACACTATCTACAATGAGCAACTCAAAATGAATTAGTGACTTAAACATAAAACCTAAATTGTAAAACTATTGGAAAAAAACATAAAAAACATACAGAAAAGCTCCATGACATTGATCTAGGCAATGATTTTTTTGAGTATGAACCCAAATGCACAAGCAATCAAAGCACAAGCAAAAGAAAATAAAAAGATTAAATCAAACTAAAAGGCTTCTAGACAGCAAAAAAAAAAAATAAAAATAAAAATAAAATAAATAAATAAAAAGAACAATCAATAGAATAAAGAGACAATTCATGGATTGGGAGAAAATATTTGCAAATTATACAGCAGGTAAGCAATTAATATCAAAAGTATACAAGAAACTCAAACTACTCAACAACAAGGAAACAGCCTTACTTAAAAATGGGCAAATAATTTGAGAATTTTTTTTTTTTTTAGGAAGGAAGTTTTCAGACTCAGATTATAGCATTAGGGAAGCTATTCATTCCTTCTAGATTTTGTCATTAGATTTGAAGAAAGTGTAGTTATTCCAATTGTGTTTTCTTATCTACTGTTTTCACAATGCATGTGCACAGTTCAATCGGTTTTCATTTCAGTCCATTATTGAGTGGATATTGCAACAATTTAAATGTAAAACTCTTCAGCTACAATGCAACAAAAGGTAATCACAGCAATCAAGGAAAAATTATTGCTATATACAATAACTTGGATGGATCTCAAGGGTATTATGTTAAGTAATATAAAAAAAACCTCAAAATTTCACATACTATATTATTCGATTCATGTAGCTTCACAAAATGACAAAATTATAGAGATGGAAAACAGAGTGGTGATTATGAGCAGAAAAGAAAGAATTATGGAGAGAGGTTGAAGATAGATGGCAGCAGGGGATAGTTGGTAGATTAGGGTCCCTGGAGTAGCTGGCAAGGGTGGAATACAGGACAACAAGAAAATGTTTATTCTGACACTGGTAGGGTCCCTCTACCATTGACAGGAGATAGAACATTGTAGGAGTGGTATTTTGACTACCAGCCACTTCCTGCATCAATTCCTCCAGATAATCAGCCCTTAACTAAATCTTTCTTCCCTAATGGTCAATTTCTATTAGCAATTATTATATCATTAAGATTCTTTTTCTTTATTATTTAATGAGTGTAGCTTTATTGAAATTCGACTCTGGTTTCTCTCAAGAGAACTTAAAGTAAATAAGCATTTTATGTTCTGAAAGAAATTGTTCCATAATCTCAGTTATTATTTCCATATAGTATCCACGTGGACAAAATAAATTCTGAAAACATTTGAGTAAGAAATAAGAAATTCTAAAAATATAAGAAAATAGAAATGAAACACATTGATTATGGATAAGAGATAAAATATTTTTCAATAATAATTATACTGTAACAATAATATTTTATTGTCTAAAGTCAAGGAGGAGCTGTAATACATTCAATGCCACTTAATGCCAGAAAATGGGCTAAGTACCTTTCACTTAAAATATATGTGATATTTCCTATAGAAAATATGAGGTGAAAAATTAGAAAATTGTCACACATTATATAATATATGTTTAATAATAATAAATTATCCAATGTATTTAGAATTCTGTATATTCATCTATTTCTACTGTTAAACTGTGGAGGACATTTTTTGTTTTCCTTTGTGGAGAATCCAGTTTCCTCTCTCTGAGTAATGGTGCCCTGATTTTCCTGAGGGAAATATCCTTTCTATTTTTTTCCCTTGTGATTTGTGTGAAGTTGGACACATATTCAGCTTCCGGATTGTGAACTTGCCTCAGGTTGGCTTTTCAAATAATTACAATGATGCTCAATTTCAGATTTTTGCTGGAACTGTAAGAAAAGAGGTTCTCTGTCCTGTTGGCACTGTTAAACTAGTAAGATATAATCCTGGAGTTGTTGACGACTGCCTTATTTCTATAAAAATAATTCATAATAAAGTGAACACAGAGAAAAGCAGAACTGAGAATATGGAGAAAGAATTATGACACTGTGAGATTCTGATTCCTTGGCTTGTTCAGTTATGTAAGCTAAATTCCTTTTCTTCTTTATTAACTGAAGATTGTTTAATTGGTTTGATAATAATTGCAACTAAAAAAAAGCCTATTTAATAGTACTGAAAATGAATATCCATGAAATTTAGGAAATTAATATTGACTAGCAAACAATGTTAAGGAAAAAAGTCCTTCTGAATTCTTTGCAAACATAATAAGTCTGTGAAAAAATTTCATGTTTCTTATCACAAAAAACTAACAATATATCACTGATATGAAATGTTCTTCCCATAATCTACAAAGTATTATTTTATTTTAATGATACTATATTAATAACTTAAAGATAAAAGTTATAATTAATTTATAATTGTGGAACTAAGGATAGGAATAAGTAAATACTGAAGTACAAAAAGAAAAAATGGGCTCCAAGATTTTATCTTGTTTTTTGTTTTTCTCTAATGTTTCACCCAAACTCTCTGACCCTTAGTTTCAGAAGATGTAGGAGAGAGTTGATACATATATTTTAAAACTTTTTCCTCAGGGAGGTATCTGGAAGATCATTGAATTGCTTCTCTTCAGTGCTGTGAGCTTTTCTGAGATTGGGACATTCTGAATATAATATAATCTGATGGGAGATGTCAACATTCTAAGAAATACTAGTCTTTAATAAATTGCAAACTAATGAAATTTAAAACATTAAGAAATTCTGTAGCTTCACCTTTATTCAATGCTTACTGGATGACTCTATTATTCATAACAAATTGAAAAACCACTTATGGATATTAAAATTATTTTCCAAACAAAAATTGAGTGTGACTCAACGTGAAACAAAAAATCTTCTGAGATATTATTGTTTACTAGGACACATTATTATATGACTCTTAGCACAAAAAACAAAAGCTAAAAGAAAAAATATCCTTTTTCATATCAAAAAAACCCAACATCTCAATGAATGAGACTATTCTCTCGCTAATGGTAATTTTATGACTACATTAACTTTACTGACAACCTCAGATCTCTAAAGTAACAGAATAGAAGTATTGTCTTTCCTAAATCAGTGAATTGGTTGACTAGAATCACAAATATTCCCTGAAGGAAGCTGAACACTAGCATGGAATCCATCTGGCCAAGTGGGTACATGTTCACCACTTTGCAGATAATAAAATAAATGGATGATATCTCCTTTTCTGCTGGGTAGAATCCTGGAGAATAATATCTAGAATTATTATAGGTTTAGTGTAGTTTTAGTGTTGGTTTGGTGTAGGCTTAGTTCTTGTGACCATAAAATTATCAAGTTAGGGTCCTTTGCACTGGCACACTACAGCTAATGCAAGGGTCTGAAAATGCCCCAACAAAAGTTCCTCATTTGCTTTATAATGTGCAGACCCAGAGGGTACAGACAGCTGATAAGTGCCCAGGGAAAGCCTTATTCACAAAGAACAAAAATGGCTCTAAATAATGGCTCAAGTTATCTGTAATTTGGACATCTCTTTAGGATAATGTATGATCCAACCATTGATGAAGTTCATGCTAAAAAGGAATTTGGTCTCAAAAATACGGAAATGACATTTAGTCTTTTACGATAGGAATGCTACTTCTTGATTTAATACCAGAAGGAAGTACAGGAAATTGAAAAATAATCAGCCAAGAACATTGCTAACTGCTTTATATGCATGGTCTATTGTGACTTCTAAAGTTTTTGAGACAGATATCATCAACTACATGGCATCACTATGAAAATAGGGGTTCAGATAGATTCTTTAACTTGTGACGGCATCATATTTCATTATGTTGTAATCTGGCTTCATCGAAGTATAACCATTTTGACCAGGCTCAGAAAAGTCCCCCGATTGGGGTTTAATGCTCTGTGGTTGCTGTCTTGAGATTCTTAGTCATTTTAGTTTTGTATTTATATGCCATCTCCATATTTAGATCCTGTCTGCCCTGGGGGTGGGGTTGGGTTTGCGGGGGGGTCTTGGGGGTAAGGGTCCTTTGCCATTGCCAGGCATTTTCCTTTTGCCTTGAGCCCCACAAGTTATGTAGCCAGCCCTGAGCAGAGTTACGATTCAAATCCAGTTCTGCCTAACACCAAGAACCTCTGGAGCAGGAATCAAGATGTTTGGTCCAGAACGAAAATCAATTTTCTAGGCTTAGAAAAGTACGGAGAAAATGGCATTGAATTTGGAGTTCAAACACCTATCGATAATTCCAGATACATAATTTACATTTTGTAGCTCTCTGGGCAAGACACTTAATCTTTCTAAACTGAGGCATCCATAGACTTTCTGTAAAGGGTCAGATATTAAATATTTTCAACTTTGCAGGCCATATGGTCTCTGTTGCAACTACTTAACTCTACCATTGCAGCATAAAAGCCACCACACAAAATACCTAAACAAATGAGCATGGCTGTTTTCTAGTAAAACTTTATTCATGGACACTGAAATTTGAATTTCCTATAATTTTTATGTGTCATAAAATATTACCAACCTTTTGATTTTTAAAACAATTTTGAAATGTAAAAACCCTTCTTAGCACCAGGGATATAGAAAAATAGGCAGCAGGATGGATTTGGTCCTGCAGGTTATACTTTGCAGACTTCTGGTCTAAGCTATTGTTTTTCATTCATTCATATATCCATTCATCACTGTTCAAAGTGTGTTTATAACTGGACTAGGCATTAGGGATCAAAAGACATGGATTTGTATGATCTAGACCTTGAAGTTCTTAAGCGCCACCTCACGTTGACTTTCCCAGGCCTAAACAAACAAGTGAAAACAGACTAATGGGAAATAGCTTGGGAAAAAAAAAAAGAACTAAGTCTTTCCTAAAATAACATCTGCTTTTTAAGTCCCAAATTGTTTTCATTTTTAATATATGTATATATTCACATTTATATGAGTATTTATATGAGTATTTGTGCGCATATATACACATATACACACATACATAAACATACACATATACATGTATTATGCATACCTTATGTGTATATATACATATATGAATACACACACAGTATCTTACAATTCTGAATTAGAGATCCAATCACATTGCATGTATAGTATAGTGATTAGAGGAATCCAACTTGGGTTTTATATCCAAATATATCATCCCTGTCCTAGAAATACAACCACTGAAATAAATTACAAACAGTACTATCAGATAGTTTGCAACAGTTAGGAATACTCACCCTATTAAGTAGTTTCTTGCCATGTATAACACAAAATGTGCACCTGAGTTGAGCAGCCAATCTATATATTTTTGAAGATACAACAAGATAATTTTTCTTTAAAGACAATCAGAAGTGAACTTGTAAGCTCTGATTACAAAGTTATTAAAAATGGAAGTCAATACTTTTTCAGAGTAAAAAGCTAAGAATCTTCGTGCAAGTCTCAATTACGTAAAAATATAAGAAGGACTTAAAAAAAAAGGGCTTTATAGGCCGGGCACGTGGTGGCTTATGCCTGTAAACCCAGCAGTTTGGGAGGCCAAGCTAGGAGGATTGCTTGAGGGTGGGAGGACTGCTTGAGGCCAGGAGTTTGAGACCAGCCTAGGCAATATAGTGAAACCCTAGCTCTACATAAAATTTTAAAAAAATTAGCCAGGTGTGGTAGCTACTTGGGAGGCTGAGTCAGCAGGATCCCTTGAGCCCAGGAATTTGAGGCTGCAGCTAGCTACAATCATGCCACTACACTCCAGCTGGGCAATACAGCAAGACCCTGTCCCTATTTTTTTAAGTGCTTTATAAATACGGTATGGGGTCAACTGAGTTCCTTGTTGAAACAGTATACTGTTTCCCTGGTTCCAGCTCACAGGTTCTGACCCAAAAGGTCAGGAATGAGGCCAAGAAATCTGCATTTTTTTAAACAAGTAGATTAAGTTATTTTGATATAGCAAGCTCAAGGACAACACTTGGGAAATGGCTTTAAAAGAAAAATAGTTAAGGTTTTTAATTTTTATATTTCCCTAGTTCCAGTTTGGAGACATTCTGGATACTTAAGGGAAGCAGAAGTCTCTTCACCCTATATGCCTTTATCTAGAAACACCTCCCAAAGGAAGCAGAGTCTGCCAGTGGAAACAATGACAATATTGCAAGCAGATTTGGGGCCAGAAGAAAACACTGCTGAGAAAAACAGAGTGTTATCCTTTGCAGCTTAAAAATTCTAAACAAGAGGCAAAAATCTCTCATATGTAGCTTTTCCTTGACAGCTGGAGAAAGGTGTTGTTAAGACCCTCAGACCTTAAAGAACCTTTGAGTAAGGAAAAGGTGATTTCCAGACACGTAAGTCCTGTTACACCAGTCTGAATACAAAAGCAAACAAAACAACAGACGGAACAAAACTTGGCAAATATTTTCTCTATCTATCTACTTACTATCCAGAGGCTTTTCATTCCTGGAACTCTTGATAAAAGTTTCAAATAACTCAAATATAACTTTCAAACATTATTTTGTTAGTAATATGTAATCTTGATAATGTGAAATGTGAAAGAAACTCTGTGGCTGTCTGACAATGACACAGCTTGATTCTCTCCAAGAGGCCAAAGTTTTGGTCTGTATTCACGAATTCATTTGTGAACTAGTTACTCTGATGAACAATTCTTACAAGAAGGGGTATTCTGGCTGGGCGCGGTGGCTCACGCCTGTAATCCCTGCACTTTGGGAGGCTGAGGTGGGCGGACTGCCTGAGTTCAGGAGTTTGCGACCAGCCTGGGCAACAGGGTGAAACCCCGTCTCTACTAAAATACAAAAAATTAGCCGGGTGTGGCGGCGTGCGCCTGTAGTCCCAGCTACTCGGGAGGCTGAGGCAAGAGAATTGCTTCAACCCGGGAGGAAGAGGTTGCAGTGAGCCGAGATCGCGCCACTGCACTCCAGCCTGGGCGACAGAGCGAGACTCCATCTCAAAAAAAAAGAAAAAAAAAAAAAAAAAAAGAAGGGATATTCTTATGTGTGTGTTTTGTGTGTATAATACATATTATACATTACATATAATTAATTATTTCTACTATCACATTAATTTAGTGACGAAGTACTTTTATAAATTCTCTTTGCCTTTGACAATACTTTCAAGACACATGGAAGATACGGATTTTAGCTTTAGTTACTCAATACGAGTTCTCTTTTAGCTTCTAGGCAGGTGGCACAGTATAGTGGTTATGAACACAGGCTCTTGGCATTAGAGAGCTTGAAATTCTTACCACCTGTGTGATAAGTAATTTAATCTTACTAATTCTGTTTCCTTATGGGGATGACACTAGTACCTATCGTACTGTTAATAGTAATAATAGTGCATGGCGATGATTTTAGTACCTACTTCATGCAGTTGTGAAGATTACAATAATCCATTAAGTTTCCAAAAGTTAGCAATGTGGCTCATAAAAATATAAAATAAACATGTGTCAAAGATATTATTCAATTTCTTGATTAATGAGTAAACCAATCAGACGGCAAGGCTGAATCAAAGGGCATTTTGAAGATCTGAATATTTATAGGCCTTTTGAGATAATATTAGTATAAGATTTCTGGGATAATAATCTATAGCACTGAAGTTTGTTTTTCTTCTGGATAGAAATAATTTGTATCTGTGGGCCGGGCGCAGTGGCTCACGCCTGTAATCCCAGCACTTTGGGAGGCTGAGGCAGGCAGATCACGAGGTCAGGAAATCGAGACCATCCTGGCTAACAAGGTGAAACCCCGTCTCTACTAAAAATACAAAAAATTAGCCGGGCGTGGTGGCCGGCGCCTGTAATCCCAGCTACTCAGGAGGCTGAGGTAGGAGAATGGCGTGAAGCCGGGAGGCTGAGCTTGCGGTGAGCCGAGATGGCGCCACTGCACTTCAGCCTGGGCGACAGAGTGAGACTCCATCTCAAAATAATAATAATAATAATAATAATAATAATAATAATAATAATAATAATTTCTTAATATCTTTTAAAGTACAAAGACCCTACTAAAGTTAGTTACTAATATTTGCATTGTTATTTATTTTGTAGACCAAAATATTTTGTTCACCTTGATTAGATTATTACTTCATTGGAGCATGATGTTTGTCCATCATATTAGCAAATTCTTCTCATATATATAAGAATATTTCAAGAGTTATTTAGGGTATACTTAGACCCCACACTACCAGGAGCCAGAAAAATAGCTATGAATTTACCACATCCATAGATTGATTCATTGATTATTTTTTCATTTATCAACTGTTAATTCAGTGTCAGACTCAGAGGATATTGCACTGAATAGGACACAGTCCCTTCTTTCATGGAACTCCACGTAATATTATTTATAAGTCATATTTACTTAAAACTAATTTCTACTTCAAATATCAATACATGTGCCATAAACATTGCTTAGAGAAAGAACTCATTGTAAAATATTTTTCAGTAATACTGATTTTCACCCAGGAACTTCTTTATTTGACTTTAAATCTCTGGCGCAAGTCCATCTGTCTCTTAATGCAAGATACAGGTGGCGAAACAATGTTGGTGTTCACAGTTAGAGCTCTCTAATTCTACACATTTTTTTTCTAAAACATCCAAAATATTTTTCTGTGTGTAAAAATATAAAGATTCAGTGAGATGTTGCTAAATACACTTTAATGAGATCTTCTCAAATCCATTTTGCTGCCACTAATTTCAAGATACTTATTTTTTCAATAAAGGATTATTTCCATAGATAGCACGAGAAATCATGAGAAATTAATGTCTTCATGATGATAAACCAGAGCATAGGAAAATGAGATAGTGAATAATGAAGTTATATCATTATAATACATAGTTTTATGACATGACCAAGAATATTCCTATTATTCTGAAAATATATCAGTGTGCATATGCTGATGGACTTACCACTACTTCATTTACTTCAGTGAGTCCACACACATGAGTATTTTTTCAGTATTAAAAATATACTGCTTGGAGGAATTTACACACAATGCATAGATTTCATTTTATGTCATGGTTCTGAGGAAAACTGTTCTACCTTTTACACCAGAATGATATAATACCAGGACACATATATTTTTGCACACAATTTCAAGGGGCTCATAGACTCTCTAGAATCATATCCAGGTGAAGCAAGTATGTCACAAAAAGACTGTGTCAACATTAAATGTTTAACTACCCAAGAAGATTTTGTTTTTATGTTCTACCAAATTATTTTCAAAATAAAAATTCATTTCAAATGAAATAATAGGATTCAATTTATTTTGTAAATAAGACTAGAAAATGCTTAAATTAGGGAAATACTATTGTATACATCACACTAAAGACTATTTAAGGATAAAAAATTTTACACAAGCAAAAGTGATTAGTCAGTTTTTAAAGATCATATTCATGCTTCTGTTGCAAATATTAATTACTGGCTCTAATTGAGCATATCAGTAATCTATGATGTACTTACAAATTGTATATACCTTTGATTACATAACAGGGTAAATTACAAGAATAAATTATGTTTTTTATTTTATTAAGTAACATCATTATTTTTGCAAATTTCCTTTTCTAAAGGAAGACCTATATATTATCTCCATGAGCATAAAAGTGTGTTTTGCATGAGTGGCTGGTTCACTTGAACCAAAAAAGAATAGTTAATAGCATGTTTGGTGAGTGGAACACAAGTGTGCAAACATAGATGAAAAGCTCCTTAAGTCCCTCAGGACAGTGTGAATGTGCAAATGCAGTCAGAGAGATCCCTAAGGAAGGGGGGAATCCCAGAGGAATGACCGTGAAGGTTAGTGGTTCGACTGCCTTCTCATGAATGGGGAGACTTTCTCTTCTGCCAAATTTGGAGGACTTGGATTTCAATGTTTTAAGGAAGATCACAGCTTTTTAGGCACATTGTGCATATCGCATATGCTTCATTTGACAGTCTCAATACTGGATTTCAGATTCTGCTTGTTACATACAAATGTACAATATTACTTATATTTAAATGATAATAAATGAAACTGATTTTTTAAAGAAATTGGTGGATAATTTTCATGAAGCCACCCAACAATATCAGAGTCTGGAGACCAAACTGAGGTGCAGCAAACAGGCAGAAGGACATGTCTTTGGTTCTTTTCTCTTTGAAAAGGCTCATCACTCAACCAGGAGGTAAAATAAAGATAACCCAACACAGCAACAGCCATAGAAGTCTCCTTCACAGCCTCACAAATAAAGCACAGGACAGATCTTTTTTTTTTAACTTTTTTTTTTTTTGGTATGCTGACTTTGCCACAATAAATTTTTAAAAATTACTTGTCCACCCTAGAAATGAACCACATGTCAGCAAGTGGTTTTCTGTTGATGAAAAGCACCTGAAGAATCCAGGAAGGAAAGGGAAACATTTCTTTGTTTTGTTATTGGGAAGGGATGGATTTGGTAAAGTATGACATAGTTCTAGCACTGTTTCGTCCAGAAGGTTGAATTAAATATATTAATCTACATTTTCAAGTAACAATAGAACAGGTGATCTTTTTCAGAAAATCTATGCACTCAAAAAATGTTTTGTATTTAGTTCTGTCTTAGAATGTCTATTGCTATTATAAAACTAAAATGAAGATATATGTCATTTAAAATGTTCAAGGGTTAGATATGAAATTTGTGGTTGATTCAAGTGCTCAGGTTTCTGATTTCACTCTTTCTGGCTACTCTACTCAGTGCCTAATTCACTGCTGATCAGCAATTCTTCCTTGGGTGAGATGTCAAATAAAAAGTGATAAAATCCACACAAATTAATTCTTAGCTCTAAGCAATGTTAAGAGCTCATTGGGAACAAAGGTTGAATGTGCTCTTTAAAGTAAAATTTTGAATTATCTGTAGATCCCAATTTTCCATTCCCTGTTGTTGTGGACAATTAAGAGTTGTATTTACACTTAAACTGTATTTGTTAGAAAAATTCCTTTTAAAGTAAGAAAAAGAGGCTAAAAACATAAGCCTAATTTTTTTAGTGCTTAACTAATCGAACGTGAATGACACTCCCAGTTCATGTTATGCCAGGAAATATAAGTTCCTCATTTTGTCAGTTACAAAGTGGGTTTTTGAAAGTTCTCATCTACCAACTGAAGAATGCAGAGACATGCTATAAATTACCACACTTCTTGAGAAATGGAACAGAATTTATAAAACGATCTTATAACAAAATAAATAATATAAACACATCACAGATATGGGAGAGAACAGTACAATTACCCTCCCCTACCCAGATGGAACTATAGAACTCTTCAAACCTAGTGTAGATCTACCATAGAGTAGGCTTACTTGCTACATATTTAAATATTCTGCTCTCTCTGGCCCTTAACTGAGTGATGAAGATCTTGTGCAGGTAGCCAGAGAAGTTCATTAAGTTACCCCAGGAGAGAAGGGTACAGTTCCTGTGAATGTGTGGTGCCATTTTTCCAAGTTGTACTGAAACTATGATACAACAGCTGAATGCCAGTTATTCCTAGATCACCTCACCCTTTTCCAATCAACGAGGTTTTCTCTCAGGACCATCATGATAGGGCTATGTTTTTTGGCACCAACTTGCAATATAAAAGAACTTACGAATAGAATGTGAATGTGTATTTTGAAGGTTGTTAAATTTTGCTTCATTGCTTTCCAATTCATTTATTTACAAAACTGGAAAAATATGATTAATTTTTCAAAGGATTTTTTAAATAAAGGCTTTAGAATTTCTCAACTTTGAAATCTCAATTACAGAATGCTATTTTCATGCAAATGAGAGAAGCATACATACTGCAGTTTTCTTCTAGGTTTAAAGTCTTGGTGTTTAGAATTATATAAAAATAGTGCTTGCATAAAAATTACACTTGTTTATGACACAGGATACAAAATGGTAGCACAGTTTGACAAAGAAAATTCAGATAAGAATGTGACTGCCTGGGAAAGGAAAAAAAATTAAGTTGATAAGGGCAATGAAAATAATTATAGTATAAGTGGGAGCTGAACAATGACAACACATGGACACAGG
Organism: Homo sapiens; assembly: GCF_000001405.40. NCBI lineage: Eukaryota > Metazoa > Chordata > Mammalia > Primates > Hominidae > Homo > Homo sapiens. Next base: position 87,827,291 of record NC_000003.12, on the reverse strand, counting down.
GAGGGGAATAACACATACCAGGGCCTGTTGGGGGTTGCGGGGAGAGGGGAGGAAACTTAGAGGATGGGTCAATAGGTGCAGGAAATCACCATGGCACACATATACCTATGTAATGAACCTGCATGTTCTGCACATGTATCCTGGGACTTAAAGTAAAAAAAAAAAAAAGAAAGAAAGAAAATAATGATAGTGGTGGCTCAAACCTGTAATTCCCACACTTTGGGAGGCTGAAGCTGGCAGATGACTTGAGCTCAGGAGTTTGAGACCAGCCTGGGCAACATGGCGAAAGCCTGTCTCTACAAAAAATACACAAATTAGCCGGGCATGGTGGCCCATGCTTGTAGTCCCAGCTACTTGGGAGGCTGAGGTGGGAGGATCTATTGAGACCAGGAGGCAGAGGTTGCAGTGATCCAAGAGCACACCACTGCACTCCAGCCTGGGTGACAGAGTGAGACCCTGTCCCCAAAATAATAATAATAATAATGATAGCAACACCTTCCATTATCTACTATTTGTGGACTTTCAAGCACATTCTAGGTGCTGTGGTACTGTTCTCCATTCAAGGAATTTACACGGTAGTAGGTAAGACAAATAGTACCAATATGGCAAGATACAGGCTTAAAGAGACGTTATCGAAGTGCACTGCAGGGATAGGAACACTAAGCTGGAAAACACCTACTTTCTGAGATGAAGCAAAGGTTGGCAATGCTTTATAGAGAAGCTGATCTGAGAATAATGGGCGTTTACGGGATGTATAAGCAGGGAAAAGCATTCTAACTGGAGAGGCTGGCTATGGAAAGTACAGAGGATTAAAAAGACATGGACTTTATGAGAAAATCAAGCAGGTAAAAAGAACGAGTGGCAGAGCTGATTTCATAAAAATATGCAAGGGTAGAGTAGAAAAAGCTATGAAATATTTATTTTTGCTTGTAACTTAGGGGAAATCAATCATTGATGTATGAGCAAGAAAATAGCATGAAGAGAAACAGTTTCCAGCTGTTATAGAAAGAGGATTTGCAGAAGCATTGATCAAACAGGTTCCCTGAGACAGAATATGGTCTCACCCAGGTTCTCTAATACTGTTTGAGAAATAAAGATATCCTTGGTCCCCAAATGATAGCAGGACAGGAGAACTAGGAAAGCATGCAGAGTTTCTGCAGACAGGTTCTGGTACCATCAATGGTGCCTAGAAGTGGTAGGAGAATGCAAGAAGGAAATTATCCTCTAGTGAGCATTCAATACATTACAGCAAATATTTTTTAATACACATGATCTTATTTAGTCTTCACAACAATCCTATGAAATATGAATTATTATTTCAAAGTAAAACATAGTTAAACTAAGTTCCAGAGAGGTGAACTTATCCAGTATTACACCACTGATAGAGGTGGTGGTATGTCCCTACAATGGGATCTAAAACCCTGCCTGTCTGTCTGGTATCACAACTTACACTCTTTCTGTAGAATCTCCTGTCTCAAGTGGTACCTCTGTCATTGGGTATATAGCAGCAAGACAACCATTTTGCTTTCAGGGAGAAGGCTTTGTGACATGATTCTAAGTTAATTCCTCTATGGTTTTATGGGAAAGTGATGGTAGCGTTAGAAGACAGGCGAGTGCGACTCTGAGACTAAAATGGGTCAATTTTTAAAGGAAGCCATGGTACTAATGAAAACAGCATAAATCCCAGAAATATTTTGTATGATGAATTGAGAAGATATAGTGACCAATTGGATATATGAAATGAAGGAGAGCCAGGCATTAAGGAATGACTCTTCTGGCATGAGAGACTGGAGAAAGAACCATCAAACAACATACAGAATATAGAAGGGGAAACAAGCACCAGGTAAATATGACATGAAAGCAATAGTACATATTTTAGTGATTATTAGACTTAGGAGAGAGAAGTCAGGGATTTTACAACCACACATTTCATATATTTGTGGTAATTAATATATTTCAGGCTCAGGCAAACTACAATATAAAGGGCTATAAAACTCATTATCGGTAAGGTCAGGACAGCTCTGAGGACGATTATTTGGGATCATTTAAATATATCATACACAACTGTGAGTTCTGAAACAGACACTACTCTTGTGATGGGAGAGATGCAAATCATACTTGAGAGTCCATTTATTATAGCTGTTGTCTGAAAAGTTGTTAAGGCAAATAAGACATTACAAAGAGTAGGAAAACAGATTTATTGCTATGACATATTTTTATGTGCTTTGACCATTGCACAATTTGAAATAATTGGCATAATAATACTTCTTATAATCACTATTATCAAGTCTGAATATCATTTTTAGCTATGGGAAGAAAGACACAAAATCTGTTCGTCAGTGTAAAAATTCAGAAGCTAGAGAGGGGTGGCTGGAAAAATGAAAAATTCAAAATGGAAACAAAAACATTTTCTTTTGCCTTGTTTTGGGAGCTTTCATACTTATAGAATTATCTTGAGTTGAAAACAGAATTTTATTATTTATTTGAATTAATTTGGTAATTTTTGACTCTTTGAAGTCAAAAGTAATTCCAAGAATGTATTTCGTAAAGAAATAATGTGCTTATGAAAGCACACCTATACACATGTCCCAGTCCAGGACACTGATGGTTATGTGCAGCTGTCAATCTCATTCCCATCAATTCTAGGTCTGTTTCATTCAGGGATTCATATTATGGGTATCAATTCATTCTTTCATTCACAAGGTTTATTGAGTGCTTACAGTAATTGTGCTAGGCACTATTCCAGTCCACTATACTGACTTGAGAATAAAACGGAAAAAAATGTTTTCCTAATAGAGAGAGAAACATAAATTAACAGAGAAATAGAATTTATAGGAGGGATAATGCACTATGAAGAGTGATAAGTAAAAAGGCCTGTTTTACATAAACAAGCTTGAAATACTGGCCAGGGATCCAATCATGTCGCATTTTAAAGGGCATCATTAGGGATATGTATTGGAGTAGGATGCATAGGACTTGCTGATGGGTTGGACAAAGGTAAGACCCCCACATTTTTGGTCTAAGCAACCAAGGGTATAGTAGGACTATAATAGGAAAGACTTGTGGAGGAACAAGTTTAGATGGAACATCAAAAAGTTAATTTAGTACATATCTATTTTGAATCATTGAGTAGACATACAGGGAGAGATTTATAGCTCTTTGATATCTAAGTAAGAAATCATAGGGGATTCAGGGCTGGGATAAAGATCTGGGAGACTTCTGCATATGTTAGCTTTTTTTTTTTTTTAGGCGGAGTCTCACCCTGTCGCCAGGCTGGTGCGATCTTGGCTCACTGCAAACTCCGCCTCCCGGGTTCAAGCGATTCTCCTGCCTCAGCCTCCCGAGTAGCTGGGACTACAGGCGCGCCACCATGCCCAGCTAATTTTTGTATTTTTAGTAGAGACAGGGTTTCACCATGTTAGCCAGGATGGTCTCCATCTCTTGAACTCGTGATCCGCCCGCATCGGCCTCCCAAAAGTGCTGAAGTTACAGGCGTGAACCACTGTGCCTGGCCTGTTTTTGTTTTTTTTAAAGCCTGTAATCCCAGCACTTTGGGAGGCTGAGGAGGATGGATCACTAGAGCTCAGGAGTTCAAGACCAGCCTTGGCCGGGCATGGTGGTGCACGCCTGATGCCTGTAGTCCCAGCTACTAGGGAGGCTGAGGTGGGAGGATCACTTGATCCTGGGAGGTGGAAGCTGCAATGAGCTGTGACTGTGCCACTGCAGCCCAGCCTGGGTAAAAGCATGAGACCGTGTCTCAAAAAAAAAAAAAAAATATGGGACCAGTTGAGAAAACCTGAGTGGAGATATGGATAAAGAAGGGAAGAGAGCTGAAGATGTATTCCTAAAGTGTTCCAACATCTAGAGGTCTTGAAAAGGAAGATGAACTACGAAGTAGACTTTGCAGGGGCAAGAGCATCTTGAATCAGTAACTGTTGATATTCTCCATCATAACTGAGAATCAGTATACTTGGAAAATAAAAACTTTTAAAAAATAATACTAAGGAGAATGGGTACCATTGAGATTTTCAAAATCTAATGTATAGAATTATAAATTAATATAAACTGTTACAAAATTTGCAATAGACAGTACATTCCTGCCATCCATTTAATTAAAAAATCATTTATTAAATATATACTTTTAGCTTTGTGACAGTAGCTTACATGATATATGTCATGCTGTCTCTTAAAAATATTAAAATCCATATATATGACAAGTGACTATCCTATGGTTGCATTAATCTTCTAAATAATAATGTGCATTTATATAAAACTTAAAATTTTACAAAACATTCTTTGACTAACTCAGACAACTGTGTAAGATTGGGAAGGTAAATATTATTGTCACCATTTTCCTAGCAAGCACTCTGGATTCAGAGAGGCTAATTGATATGAATAATATTATCCGGCTAGGAGCCAGCAGATCAGTGACCTGAATAAAGATATTAGGGCACTTAATCCATTGCTGTTCCCAAGAGTAACATTTATTATGTTGTTTCATTTCTTATGTACACATATAATCAGAGGCAACACGTATGGCTTGTGCAGGTTGTGTATCACATGGATAAGCTATGAATGGTCCCCTCAGACTGGGCTGGGCAATAAGCAACCTGAGCAAAATAAGCAGTAGCTGTTCTTAAAAATCATACTTTGCCTCAAATAAACTCTGAAACATGGAGATGTAAGAGTTAAAACTAGTCTGTTATCCCACTGAGGATAGTTATCACCCTGCCAAATTATATAAAAGAAAACATTAAATTTTCCAAATCATTATTATAATTGAGAAGATGGTTAAATATAAAATCTGCAGGTTTTTATCTGATTTAGTATTTAATGTCTACCTTTCACTTTCTATAAGCATTTTTCTTAATTTATTTTTTCTTTGATTTATGTTCACTCACCCAAATGTTCTCTTAACACCATCTCCAAGTCTCCACCCTATTTTCCTCCAATAGGCTCCTGGACCCATCCTTCCTTTCACCTTGAAACACTATTGGCCATTAGTGAACCAATGATCAGTGGCTCTGGCCTTTCCTGGAAGCAGGAGTCATATGGACTTTCATCCCTCCAGTGTCCATTTTGCATTACGTTCTTTGATTTACCACATTTTTTTTTTCACTAATTGTCAATTTATTTTTCTTCATGGTTTAAAGCTGGGAATGCTTACCATACTGTGGTAGATTGAATTGTGGGTTTTCATCACCATTTCGTCTCCTCATGTTCCTGTTCTTTTGAGAAGTTCATGAAAGTTTCACAGTCCAATTCATTCTCTCCCAAACTCCTCCTTAAAAAAGCAAAGAATAAAACAAATCATTTCTTGTCTCTTCTCCTGAAATTTTCCCAGCCGTAATATACCCTGGCTGATCTGCTCAAACAATTGTTACCTTTCTTTCCCCCTCTCTGACCACTAACCACTTTTGAAATAAAATATCCGGTTTAGAAGTCAATAAAAGAAAAAACGTCTTTTTTGGGGGGAGATGAAGATCAGCTGTAATAGTTGCATTATAAAATGCATACTAAAGGGGAATATTTGGCTTATTCCTTTTGTAATTAACGTTTATTACTATCTACTAGATATTTGATTAGAGAATAAATTAGATAATTGGAATTAAACTTAACTATGACATTTGGGACAGTGGTTTCGCTGACAAGCTCCTTATGACACTATCATCCCTGACACCAGGGAGCATGAACAGTGTTATCAAATAACTAAAAAGTCAATCCCTAATATTTTGGGATTTGAGGGATGATGGAAATATATCTAGAAAGTAAGGGACATCACAATATCAACATCACGAACATTTTAATATAAAATAAGCTAATGGCATGCTACTTTCTATGTTTTGTGGGATTAAAAGTAGGGTATCATAAGGTGAAGACTGGATGTATAAGATAGGCTCAGTTTCTCATGAGAAGACAAAAACAAAAGCAAACAGATGATGCTGGCCTTTTCTATTTCATAGAGTAGATATGAGTACCAATGCAGATAAGGTACTTGGAAGTACTTTGGAAAATAAAAGATTCATACAAAAATATAACTTATGGGTTTCTGAAATTCTTTACAGGGGCTTTCAATTAAAAAACAGTGCAGAAAAACTTATGGATCTTAGAATCTAAACAACGTATTTAATTTAATTTGAACAATCTCTGTGCACCAAAAATAAACATCATTCATTATTTAGTATTTTTAGGTAGAAGTAAAATCTTGAATAAAGCACAACTGGTATGAAATATCAAATATTACCAAAGGGTTGGTTTATTCATTGGCAATTCTATTATTTGTTGTCCAAATCAGTGAGAAAATCAATTATTACCTTCAGTTGAAAGATAGTTGATTTGACATATTCAAGAATACTTACTGACTGACTTTTGATTTAGTCATATTTAGTACCACTCAAGATAAATTTTAATTTGATTTACCTGAGTTAATAGTCATGCAGAACTTTACAAAACATAAATAAGGTTATAAATGCCATTGTTACATGAATCTGTAAATCTTAGCCACTTTATTTTATGTTTATTCCTTCCCCATTAAGAAAGAAAACTGGTAATGCTAATCATAATAAATTTATTAAATTAATTTTAATATATACTCTCAAGTATTTGAGAGCATATCAACTCTCAAATTTATTACAATTTACCTTTTAAATTTAAAGAATGTGAAGATATTTTATGAAGTGCTATTGAATAATTATTCTAAAACTTTTTAGCATATATCCAAATGACTACATCTTTGATGGTATGTAACTATCCTGTTTCATATTTCTTGACATCTTGATGTCATATTGGGCATAAATCATGTTAAAATGGGTCATGAGCCGGGCGCGGTGGCTCACGCCTGTAATCCCAGCACTTTGGGAGGCCGAGGCGGGCGGATCACGAGGTCAGGAGATCGAGACCATCCCGGCTAAAACGGTGAAACCCCGTCTCTACTAAAAATACAAAAAATTAGCCGGGCGTAGTGGCGGGCGCCTGTAGTCCCAGCTACTTGGGAGGCTGAGGCAGGAGAATGGCGTGAACCCGGGAGGCGGAGCTTGCAGTGAGCCGAGATCCTGCCACTGCACTCCAGCCTGGGCGACAGAGCGAGACTCTGTCTCAAAAAAAAAAAAAAAAAAATGGGTCATGATTCCAGGAAACCAAGTTATTGGAATCTTTACTCATATCTGTTCTTTTATCTTTGCTCATCATGTTTTAGGATTTAGACTTGTTCATTATTATTATCTTTTGAAGTTGGGTTAAAGTGTTTCTATTTCTCCAAAAGAAATTCACATATCTACACAGAAATATAAAAAGCAGAATATTAAAATTAAGAATTAACTTATATATAGCATTGTAATAACCTTGAAAACTGGCCCAATAATTTTAAGAGTTAAATTGTTCTCATTTACTATTTAACTTTTTTCTCATTGTACTTAAATAGTTTGTAGTTTGTCAACAGTAATCATAAATTTTTGGTTGAAAAACTAATTAATATTGAGTTTCATTTTGGGAAATTTATAATATATAGAAATGTTTTTGCCCCTATTAGCTAATATTCTTTTATCTTATATGCATTTTAAAACTTTATAACCTTATATATTGGCATGATGGAGATACTGGTCAGTTATAAAGTTTGTTCATTAATAAATAATTCACATATTCCAATTTCAATTCTTTATACAACTTGCTGAATTTCAGCATATGTATGAATGTGAAAATAAGCAGAAAAATTATTTTTAAAAAAGGCATAGCATAATGATGATATCCAAAGCCTTTTTTAAAAAAAGGCAAGAGAGAAAATAAAACTGAGAATTTAGTTAACATGAGATAATTTACTAGTATTCTTCCAGGATCCCAGAAGATTCAAACATGCAAACTAGATGAAAAATAAAACTGCCCTCTAAAAATAAGTCTACAGATAAAACAACCAGTATAAATATGTAAAATATTCAAAGTTAAGCAAAAAAAAAAATCTTATTGTATAACAATGGGATTTGTATACCAAAAACACAAATGCCCATATGTGTGTCTGGTTGTGGGGAAATGAAAACAACCATGAAAATTCATAGTGACAATTGGTAAAATTATTTTAAATAGAACCATGGCAGTATCCAATGCATCCCCCCAAATTACTGATAATTTGACCAGTAATCTTATTGCTGATACTAAACATGCAGAGATAATTTAAATGAAGTAAAACAGTGTGCACATGAGATAAGTCACTGAACTGTGTTTCACAGTGAAAAACTGGGAGTAAGCTTTCTCTGTTGTTCTGTATATAATAGGATATTGCAGGGTATTTTTTCTATTTCCTGGAATTTTAGGCCAAAGCTGAAGACAGAGGGGAGCAGGTATGCAATATATGTTTATTAAACCAGCAATAAGGTGCTAGTTGTTGAGGATGGTCAAATTCCTGCAGAGCTTAAGGAGTAGATTCTAAGTTACCCAGCTATACCATACTCTACTTCCAACACCTGGGACTAGGATGAGGCAAATGAGGGGTCTAGGGTGCAAAGTTAAAGAAGCACTTGCCCAACCCTGAGTGAGTGCCTTCATAAATTTTGTGCTCTATGCTTCTTTCCCATTGGACAAGGGTTTGGCCTCTAGACTTGATAAGATATACCTGTGGATGGGTAAACAGGGGAAAGCATAATTTGAGAGAAGCAAGGCTAAGGAAACAGAGGACAGGGGTCTGAGAAGAGAGGGGCCGTGGAGGAGCCTATCCACCTACTGTTTGGCATGGCAGGACTGCAGGTCTCTTGTGGATCAAGTGCACACCTAGGATGACATTTCGGTTTGAGCCATCATCTTCCATCATTTCTACTGCTCCCCAGATTTTTCTGCTGCTGGAGATGCCTCACTTTGCAAGTAGCTTTCTTGGTGCAGTACTTGGCAGGATGGCTTAAATAGAGGTATGTTTTAGGTTTTTCAATTGACATAGGAAATACGCAACCCTGCTGTGCCAAACAGTGGGCCTGAAGCTGCTCCACTGTCACCCTTCCTTTATGCCCATTCCCTTGTGCACCTATTATTTTTAAAACTCTCTGGTATCTATGTTGATTTGTATCAATAATGTAAATGCTAGAAAAAACTTGAAGCTTTTGTCATATATATGGATGTATTTAGCACAGCTCTTTGCAGGTTGTATGATTCATTCTGAGGGCTGCTTTACATCTTAGCCAAAGTCTCTTTGCTGAGAGCTTCTTCAACAAGATGCAAATAGTACGTGCAGAATCCCCAAAGTTAAACTGTTTGTATAATTCATTAAAACAACCAAGGATAAATTACAATAACTCTTTATTTTTATTAAATCTTAAAATTGTAGAGTGCCATTTCTGAAGGTTATCAGTTTCCACAGAATTTGTACTTGTCAATTCCATCTTTGATGAAAAATATTTTTCTACTGACTCTCCTGAATTTGATAGAGCTGTGCTTTATATAGCATAACTTCGTCAGTAACATGAGCAATAGTACTGAGGTGGCATCGGCAAACCAATAAATGATGAAAACTTTGCCATACAGTTACATCATCTCAGTAGTCTTACCATTTGTCTACTTTAACTTCTTAAATTTAAACTTCCTTTATGTCACTTGGAGTAAAGGCATCTAAAAGATTGCTCACAACAGCAATAAAGTCACATTTCAGCTATGCATCTCATTTGTAAAATTTAAGTTTGCAGTATTGCCAAAAGTGTTGGTTAGTTCATATTCAAAACAACGACAAAATGCCAGAGCACTCGGTAATGCAACAAGTGTAGTATTCCCGACTGTTTTAGTGTTTTGCTAGCTAAAATGCATACCATTCTATGTAGGAATTTTGCAATGGGGATGTTAAGAACTGTTGCCTGACTTTTCTAATTGAATATCAACTTTGTATTGCTTCTGATCATGTTTATTACCATTCAGAAAGTTATTATCACTATCAAAGATGCATGGTATTGACTGTTTTTGTATAATGATATATTGCACACTATATAGAGATGTACTTATCATCTTTCAAGAATTTAAAATCTAAGAAAACAATAATGATGTCAACTAAGATGGTTTAAAATGCATTGCCAAACGGAGTATCTGTCTCCCGCATGATAGCATTCAAGTATGGGGCTACCAAATCAGCAAAGTTGATACTTTTTCCACACATTGATAAATACAAGAATTAATAAAGATAGGAAATCCAGTAACATTTCATTTTATTTGTGGGATATCTTGTGTGTGCACTCACACGTGCATGTGTGGCTATCTGAAACTTTAGTAAAACTATAAGCTCATAACATTCAAATTGGTCTGTTTTTCTATACATAATACCTTACATTTATAAATACCTTTGTAACCAGTATTCTTATTTTGATACCAAAATATTCTGAGATTTTAAAGTGGGGGGCCATAATTACTATATCAATTTTTCAGGTAAGTAAACAAAAACACAAAAAAGTTTAGAGACTTGACCAAGATGGTATTACTAATAAGAAAATCAGGTATTATTAGTTCATTGAACTTTCATTTGCTAGTTAAACATGCATTTACTGATTCTGTTAACCTTATTTTAGTCACTAGTCACTACGTACAGAAGGATTAAAGGCATGTTCTATGCTCATTCAGACTGAAGGTGGGGGAGATATTTTTTAGACATAAACTATACGTACATATAGTAAATTCAATTACAAATTTATACAAATAAGAGCTGTAAAATCCCAGTAAATTAAATAGCAATTTCTGCAGACACTCTAGGTAGATTTTAATGAGAATGTGATTGTTAAGTACTTCTGAGTTGAGAAAATCAGAATGGTAAATTAATCTGGTCTAGAGGTAAAGTTGGAAAAGCACATGGGGCTAGATTGTAAAGAATGTTTACATCAGGTTAAGAATATTTGATTTTTTACTCTTTTACCCATTTGCTTTTTGCCACTTCCGGTTGACCTCCAAGTACTACCAAAACAAAAAACAAACAAACTAACAAATCCTATAAAACACAGAAAGAATGCTTAAAATGTAAAAAAAGTCAGAAGAGCATTGCTATAGAAACTAATTAAAAATATTTCAAGAAATAGTTTCTGTAAGTCATGGTCAAATGCTGCCAAGTGATAAGACAGGATGAGGGCTGAAGATTGTTTTATGGATTTATCAATTTGGAGGTTACTGAAGATTTCAGTAAGAACACTCCGAAGAGAGTGATATTTAGCCACTCAATTAAGCCCCTCTTCTTGCATAGAATTGTGTTTGGAAACTTAGTTCTTTCCTTAATCACATTTTCCTGTCATGTTTCAAATTTGCTCAAGGTTCACTTCTCTGCAAATGAAACTGAAAAATGAATCTAAACTAGTGCATTTCATGAGAATAGATGGATTAATTTATCCCTCAATGAAAACTTGCATTGAATAATTGCCTAGATAACTTTTGTTTTATATACCAGAAAAGGCAAAAGCCCCTTCACTGATATGCTGCAAAGAGGGAGATGAGTGAAATGCTGGGAGCTGGGTGTCACTTTTGTTTTTAGAAGGAATGCTACTAAGACATTACCATATGCTATATGAAGAATAAGCTGTTGGCATCTATAGTAATCAAGAGCTTCTAAATTTGCCTTCAGTGTAAAGTAAGGCAGGAATTTTAATTTGCTAATGTCAAATAACTGCAGGAACTTACACTTTCCATCATGTTACTTCCCTTGTCAAAAACTTTCAATGTTTCTTGAATGATAAATTGTATAACCTTAGATCATCAAGGTAAACTGGTCATCAGTTCCCTCTTCTATAAAAATGTCATGATGCTTTCTTTTTAATATCATTTGGGAATTAAATAAAAACATAAATAAAGCCGTCAATACAATGTATGCATCTTCAAATATGGTAATTACATAGCAAATAAAAGACAAATCCATAGGCTCATTTGCTAACCTAGTACCAAGCTAGTACACTTCCTGATACTACCATAAGCTTACTTTGCATTTGGAATATATTAAGCTGCTTACCTTTTAATTAAACATTAATCTTTTCTACTTCTGTATCAGTTCATATATATATATATATTTGATTCACCCACAATGTTCTAAATCTGACCATCTTCATCCATTAAAACACTGCAGACACTATTTTTAATGTCAGGGTTTTAAATTACCCCTGTTTATTATAGCCCAAAGTTATTTTCTTTCATGAATTCCCATGACACATCATTCCTGCCTTTTACACAATTGTATTTTTGTAGCAAATACCATAGGTTGGTCCACTCAATACCCTTTCCACATTCCTTGACTTCCTTTTCCTGAACCATAGAGGCTACAAAATAACAAGTGACAAAATTGGGTCCTGAAGATTATCCATGTGTCATTGCCCATAGCTTTTTAAATTTTGTCAAAGATGGAAAGGAAAATGAATGTTGGTACTGACTTCCTCCTTTGGTGCCTGCATTTCTCATGAACTCTCCCTCCTATATAAGAGTAATTTTCAAGTAGCTATGTAGGTATATTAACAACTAGAGCCATATCATTCCCTTACTAATTATAATTCATATTCTGACTTCAATTTAGTATTTTCTATTGAGTAAGGACAGCTAGAAGGAAACAAGTAGTATAGAAGCTGGAAGAAAAATAATAATTCCTAATCTATTTATATACCACATACATTCATGTTTATTATCTTTATTGTCTTTTAATCATTTTAAGATGTTTGCTGAATAGTTCCAATTTTGCAGAATTTTACAGATGGATAATAGAAGTCTTAATATTTGGAATCTAAAAAGATTGAACTCAAAGGAGCAGAGTAGAATGTTGGTTACCAGGGGCTGGAGAATGATAGTTGGTCATAGATTACAAAAATATGAGTTGGATAAGAGGAATAAGTTCAAGAGCTCTATTGTATAACATGGTGACAATAGATAATAACAATATATTCTATACTTGAAAATTGCTAAGAGAGATTTTAAGAGTTCTTAACACAAATGAATATTATATGAGGTAATACATATGTTAATTAGCTTGATGTAGCCATTCCATAATGTATACATATTTCATGTTCCACACCATATATATATACAATTTTTGTCCATTAAAAATAAATAAATGAAATAAATTAAGACAGATTAGGTAATTTTGTTAAAATCATACACTAGGTTATGATGTTGGGATTCAAATCTGTGAGTTTTTGATTTTATGGTCTCAGTCATTTTCAATTTTACCACATTGCGTCATTCATTACTTTAAATGTGAAAGTGCATACCACCAGGCACAAGGCACCCTTTACCTTTACCAATTAGGTCTTATATAGCCTTATATAGCCTAGTAACCACTTTTAAAAATGCTAAAAAGATTATCCCAATGGCTTTCTGGTGTTTTAGTCTGTTTAGCACTGCTGTAAAAATCTGCACAAGACTGGGTAATTTGTTAAAAAGAAAAAAAAAAGAGGTTTAATTGATTCATAGTTCCACATGGCTGGGGAGGCCTCAGGAAACTTAAAATCATGGCAGAAGGGGAAGCAGGTATATCCTATATGGTGACAGGCGAGAGAGCATATGAAGGAGGAACTGTCAAACACGTATAAAACCATGAGATCTAATGAGAACTCACTATCATGTGAACAGCATGGGGGAATGACCCCCATAATCCAATCACCTCCCTTTCTCGACATGTGAGTATTACTGGTCCCTCTCGACACGTGGAGATTACAATTTGAGATGAGATTTGAGTGGGGACACAGAGCCAAACAATATCATTCTGCCCCTGGCCCTTCCCAAATCTCATGTCTTTTCACAGTTCAAAACCAATCATGCCTTCCCAACGGTCCCCCAAAGTCTTAACTCATTTCAGCATTAACTCACAAGTCCACAGTCCAAAGTCTCACCTGAGACAAGGCAAGTCTCTTCTACCTATGAACTTGTAAAATCAAAAGCAAGTTAGTTACTTTCAAGATATAATGGGGATACAGGCATTGGATAAATGCTCCCATTCCAAATGGTGAAATTGGCCAAAACAAAGGGCCTACAGGCCCCATAAAAGTCCAAAATCCAGTAGGGCAGTCATTAAATCTTAAAGCTCCAAAATAATGTCTTTTGACTCCATGTCTCAAATACAGGGCACGCTGATGCAAGGGATGGGCTTCCACAGCCTTAGGTAGCTCTTTCACAGGCTGATATTGAATACCTGTGGCTTTTCCAGGCACACAGTGCAAGTTGTTAGTAGTTCTACCATTTTGGGGTCTGCAGGATGGTGACCCTCTTCTCACAACTTCACTAGGCAGTGATCAATGGGGACTCTGTGTGGGGGCTCTGACCCCACATTTCCCTTCTACATTGCCCTAGCAAAGATTCTCCATGAGGGCCCTACCCCTGCAGCAGACTTCTGCCTGGACAACCAGGCATTGCTATAAATCCTCTGAAATATAGGTGGAGGTTCCCAAACCTCAATTCTTGACTTCTTGACTCTGCACATGCAGACCCAGCACCATGTAGAAGCCACCAAGGCTTGGGGCTTGCACCCTCTGAAGCAACTGCCTAAGCTGTACTTTGGTCCCTTTTAGCCACAGCTGGAGCTGGAGCAGCTGGGACACAGGACACCAAGTCCTGAGTCTGCAAAGAGCAGAGTGGCCCTTGGCCAGGCCCAAGAAACCATTTTTCCCTCCTAGGTCTCTAGACCTGTGATTGCAGGGGCTGCCACCAAGATCTCTGACATGGAGATATTTTCCCCATTGTCTTGGTGATTAACATTCAGCTCCTCATTACCTATGCAAATTTCTGCAGCAGGTTGAAATTATTCTCAGAAAATGGGTTTTTCTTTTCTATTGCATCACCAGGCTGCAAATTTTCCAAACGTTTATGCTCTGCTTCCCTTTTAAACATAAGTTCCTATTTCAGATCCTCTCTCTCAAATTCAAAGTTCCACAGATTCCCTAGGGCAGGGGCAAAATTCCACTAGTCTCTTTGCTAAAGCATAGTAAGCGTGACCTTTGCTCCACTTCCCAAGAAGTTCCTCATCTCCATCTCAGACCACCTCAGCCTGGACTTCATTGTCCATATCACTATCAGCATGTTGGTCAAAACCATTAAATAATCCTAGGAAGATCGAATTTTTCCCTCATCTTCCTGTCTTCTGAGCCCTCCAAACTCTATCAACCTCTGCCCATTACCCAGTTCCAAAGTTGCTTCCATATTTTCTGTATCTTTCTAGCAGTACCCCACTCTTTGTACTAATTAACTGTACTAGTCCATTTTCATATTGCTATAAAGGACTGCCCAAGACTGGGTAATTTATAGGTTTAATTGACTCACAGTTCTGCATGGCTAGGGAGGCCTCAGGAAACGCACAATCATGGCAGAAGGGGAAGCAAGCATTTCTTACATGGTGGCAGGTGAGAGTGCATATGAAAGATGAACTATCAAATACTTATAAAGCCATCAGATCTCATCAGCACTCACTCACTATCATGAGAACAACATGGGGGAAACTACCCCCATGATCCAAACACCTCCCTCTCTCCACACATGGGCATTACAATTCAAGATGAGATTTGAGTAGGGCAACAGAGCCAAACCATATCATTTGGAGATGACTTTCACCGGCTCATGAGAATCACTGGACACATTTCTTCCTGACTCTGTGTTCAGTGACTTCATGAAGATAGCTTGAAATTGATCATGTTGGGAATATTTACACTATGGAAATTGGCAAACTTCATGAATCAGGGCTTTTCCTCTTTCTCCTCAAGCTGTTTTTTTAAACATTTACCAGAACACCACTAGTCAAAACACTTTCATTTGGAATCTTTAAAAACATCTTTCCATAATTTTAACATTAATACTTTTCTTTTCCTATTATATACATTTCAGGGCTGTTTCATCTATTGACATTTGAGAAATCATTGTCATATCCTTTATGTTTCAAAGACTTCCCACTATTAAAAATAAAGCCCATTAATTTCGACTTTTTCCCTATTTACTCCTAGATCTTCTTTGCTCTTTTTTAAAATGGCAATTTCAATGTGCAGTCTTGCCAGGAACTATCACATTGAAGTAGTTTGAGTGTTTGTCTGTAGGAAGGCTTTTTTTTTTTTTAACAATAGAATTCCACTGAATGACCTGGAAATATATGAACTGCAAAGGCAGATCTATGGTAAATCATTCAGAGGAACTAGTGAGCCAGACTACTGGAGAATCTCCAATTTTGCCACTATGGTTCATATATAATTTTAAGTGTTTCCTATATGAGAACTCAAGAAGTATGAATTAAAGAGCCTTTCTGAACTAAGGGAAGAAACAAATTAATAAAGTATCTGAAATCAGGATTACTTACTAGTACTTACTATATGGCCTATTGGCATATAAAAACAAAGTCAAGTTATCTGGGGAATAGCAATAGAAAGTTTTAATATTCTAAGCTTATATGAGCTGATATAAGATCTATCTCAGATGAGTTCCATGTCAGTGTATACACATACTGGTCAGATGCTTCTTAAAATTAACTCCTGTGCAAAGTAACTGTGGTTTCTTCTTCACATGAAATATAAACTGTGTCAAAGCCACAAGTTGGGGAACATACATATTTTCAAGATTGCATGTAGTTCCTCATCTACCTGAGTTCATATTGAAATAATTTATACACCAGTAAAAGAGGAAACAACTGAGCCATTTTTAGAAAATGACTAGTGATACCAACATCTTCCTGGCCAAAGTTTCAGGAATTTCCATTGAAATAGTGTGATTCAGTTTGATGGAAGCCACAGAGGATGGAAATATAACAATATTAAATTTCACCTCCTTCAAAAAAGCTATCTATCTAGAAGGCAAATAAAGATAATGCTGGCTGATTCAGTCTGCCACATCCTGAGTGAATGGGTCAAAGAAAGGCATCAAAAGAAAGTATGGGGAGAAATGGAAGTCATTTCTAGGCCTACTGTCTGCTTGGAACTTTGGGAAAAACGCCGACATCCAGAAATGTGTGATTTGGCCAAGCATAAAATTAGGCACTGCTAAAGTTTATTATAGTAAAGACAGCAACATCAAATGGAATGAACAATGACATTTCCGATGAAGGAAGTTTCTTTTGGGACTGTTTGTTCCTTCCACTTCCTGTCAGGCTATAAGATCTGGAAATGATAAGGAATTCAAAGCATGACCTACATCAGTTTCTAGCAGAATCCATATAAACTCCATTTGGCTATAAGTTTAAATTGAATAAACATATATTTTCTCCAAAAGAAGAAATAAATCAAGAAATTATTTGTCAATAAAAAAGACAATGACAAAAGAGAAAGGAATGACAAAAGAAAAAATAAAACACTGAAACTTGTTTGATCAGGTAAAATGGAACCTGATATTTATGGTAGCTAATTAAAAAATAAGGTGAGTTCATCTACTGAAAGGAAAAAAAATAACCAGATGGTGTATCCAGATTGGGTAAAAACAATTTAATAATATTTTGCTTTTAAGAAAAATTCAATAAAATGACTCAGGCCCACAAACTTTAGGCAAACTTAAAGAAAGGAAAAATAATAAGGCTAACATTGGACAAGATGAATTTAATAAAATAAAGTAAATTTCACATAGAAAGATCGGACAATCATGTGTTTTTAAGTGCCCCCAAATCAAACACCATAACATACAAATAAGCATAAGATGGTTAAGTCCAATGGAAGATAGACAAATGTGATTATAGAGGGAGACTTTAGTGCATCTCTAGCAATCAGATACAATAACATAAGAATATGGAATGCTGAATATAATGCTGTATTATTAGTGTAGTATCCAGTATGTAATTTGCTGTTTGTCAAATGTACAGTGGAACTTATCACAAATTAAATGCATGTAAATCAAAAAAGAAAAGCTTAGTTAAGTTTGTCAATTAGAAATCATGCTAGCTACATTTTCTAGACAAAATGTAATATTAAAACTATGCATCAACTGAAAATATTTAAACACAAAAACTCCAAATATTCCTGTTTGAAATCGCTTCTTAAAAATAATTTTTTGAGTTGAAGAAGGAGGCTTAATTGAATGATACACTATTTGGTTTGCACGATTAAGAGTGATTTATAATAATTCAAATGGACTATCTCTCTAAATATAATTATATGCTATTATTTAGTACATGAAGCAGAAACAATATTGCTGAGGAAAAATTTTTAGATTCAAAATATTTTCTATTATTTTTAACTCCATCTTTTATGTGATGATATATTGACTATTTTAAATAGTCAAGAAAATCAAATAAAAATCTATTCATATAAGAATTAAGTAAATTAAATGGATAAAAGGAAAATGAATAAAAATATGTGACTTTTCTGTAAACTAGCCAAAATCAAAAGGAAATGTAATAATATGTTAGGAACCAAAACAAGTCTCAATGAACTTTTAAAAATAGAAACCACATAAAATATTTTCTCAGACTACAATAAAACTAGAAATCTATAAAAAGAGAAACTTTGTAAACTATACAAATTAAACAACATGCTCCTGAACAACCACTGGGTCAAGGAAGAAATTACGGTTAAATCAAAACAATTCTAGAAACAAACAAAAATTCAAACACAACGTATCAAAATCTATGGGATACAGCAAAAGCAGTGCTAAGAACAAAGCTGATAGAATAAATGCCCACATAAAAAAGTAGAAAGATTTCAAATAGACAATTTAAAAATGCACTTTGAAGAACTAGAAATGCAAGAACAAACCAAACCCCAAATAAGTAGAAAGAAAGAAATAATAAAGATCAGAGCAGAATTAAAGTAGAGGCAAATGAAAAAATGCAAAGGATAAATGAAATGAAAATTTGTGTTTTGTAAAGATAATCAAAATAAATAAATCACTTGATGGATTAACCAAAAAATAAAAGAAAGAAGGCCCAGGCAAAATCAGATATGAAAAAAAAAGACATTACAACTGATATCACAGATACACAAAGGATCATCAGGCACTATTATGAACAACTATACATTAAAAAATTAGAAAACCTAGAGGAAACAGATAAATTCCTGGACTCATACAACTGACCAAGATTGAATCAGGAAGAAATTAAAAATCTGAACAGATCAATAACAAATAATAAGATTTAATAAGTAATAAACAGTCTCCCAACAACAGAAGTACAGGACCTAATGGTTTCACTGCCAAATTCTATCAAACTGTCAAAGAAGAACTAACTCCAATTCTCCTCAAACTATTCCAAAAAATTGGAGAGGAGAAAATTCTACCTAACTTATTCCATGATGCCAGCATTATCCTGATACCAAAACCAGACAAGGGCACAACAAAAGAAAACTACAGGCCAATATACCTGATGAACATAGGTACAGAAATTCTCAAAAAAATACTAGCAAACCAAATCCAACAGCACATTAAAAAAATAATATACCACTATCAAATGGGATTTATCCCAGGGATGGAAGAATGGTTCAAGGCATGCAAATCAATAAACAATATACATCACATCAACAGAATGAAGTACAAAAACCATATGATGATCTCAATTGACATGGAAGAAGCATTTAATAAAATTCATCATCCTTTCATGGTAAAAATTCTCAACAAACTAGGCATAGGAGGAACATACTTCAACATAATAAAGGTCAAATGTAATAAACCCACAGGTAACACCATGCTGAATGAAGAAAGCCTGAAAGCCTTTCCCCTAATAACTAGAACAAGATGAGGATGACAACTTTCCCCACTCCTATTTAGTATATTACTGGAAGTCCTAGCCAGAGCAATCAGGCAAGAGAAAGAAATAAAAGGCAATCAAATTGGAAAATAAGTCAAATTGTCCCTGTTTGCTGACGATATGATCTTATATATTAAAAAAACTAAAGATTCAACCAAAAAACTCTTAGACCTGATAAATTCAATGAAGTTGCGGAATACAAAGTCAGCATACAAAAATCAGAATCATTTCTATATGCTAATTAATGTACTAATTAATGTACTAATAAATCAAGAAGGCAATCCCATTTACAATAGCTACAAAAATAAAAAATACCTAGGAATAAATGTAACAAGGAAATGAAAGATTTCTAAAAGAAAAACTACAAAACACTGTTGAAATAAATTAAAAACAACACGAAGGGAAAGATACTCCATGCTCATGGATCAGTAGAGTTAATATCCTTCAAATGACCATACTGCCCCTTGTGATCTACAGATTCAATGTAATCTCTATCAAAATACCAATGAGATTTTTTACAGAAATAGAAAAAATAATCCTAAAATTTGTGTGGAAACTAAAAGAGCCCAAATAGCCAAAGCAATCCTGAGCAAAAAGGACAAAACTGGAGACACCACGCTACTTGAAACTCAATATATTACAAGGCTATGGTAACTAAGATCGCATGGTACTGGTACAAAAACAGACACAGAGACCAGTGGAATCGAATACAGAACCCAGAAATAAATCTACATATTTACAGCCAACTGATTTTTGATGAGGGTTCCAAGAACATACATTGGGGAGTCTCTTCAATAAATGGTCTAGGAAAACCGAATGTATACAGAAAATGAAACTAAATTCATACCTCTCACCATAAACAAAAATCAACTCAAAGTGGATTAAAGACTTAAATGTAAGATTCAAAACAATAAAACTCTTAGAAGAAAACAGGGAAAACACTTCAGGACATTGGTTTAGGAAAAGATTATGGCTGAGTCTTCAAAAGCATAGACAACAGAAACAAAATTGGACTATATTAAACTAAAACTCTTCTTCACAGCAAAGCAATAATCAGCAGAGTGAAGAGACAACCTGTTGAATAGGAGAAAATATTTGCAAACTATTCATCTGACAAGGGACTAATATCTAGAATATACGATGAACTCAACAGAAAAAATAAAACAAATAATTCCATTAAAAAGTGGGCAAAGGACAAGGGGAATGTAAATCATAACCACAGTGAGTTATTGTTTTACCCCAGTTAAAATGGCTATTTTTAAAAAGACAAAAAATTACAGATGCTGGTAAGGAAACAGAGGAAGAGAACTTTTATACACATTGACAGGAATGTAAATTAGTATAGCCACTATGGAAAACAGTATGGAGATTTCCCAAAAAACTAAAAATACAATCCAGCAACTCTACTACCAGATATTTATCCAAAGGAAATTAGTATATCAAAGCATACTTGTACTTAAATGTTTATTGCAGCATTATTCATAATAGCAAAGACATGGAATCAACCTAAGTGTTCATCAGTGGATGAATAAAGAAAATGTGGGATTTATACACAATGGAATACTATTTTCCAATAAAAAAGAATGAAATCATGTCATTTGCAGTCATGTGCATGGAACTGGCGGTCATTATGTTGAGTGAAATAAGCCAGACACAGAGACAAATTTCACATGTTCTTACTCATATTTGTGAGCTAAAAAAAGTTGCTCTCATGAAAGTAATGAATGTGCATGTAAATGGGGCAAAAAAAAGTGTTTGGTTAATGAGTACAAACATGTGGTTAGTTAGAAGGCATAAGTTCTAATGTTTGATAGCAGAGTATGGTAACTATAATTAGCAACAGTGTATTGCATATTTCATTTTCTTTTCTTTTTTTAAGTTCCAGGGTACACGTGCAGGATATGCAGATTTGTTACACGGGTAAACGTGTGCCGTAGTGGTTTGCTGCATTTATCAACCCATCACCTAGGTATTAAGCCTAGCATGCATTAGCTCTTTTCCCTAATGCATATTTCAAAGTAGTTAGAAGAATTTGAAATGTTCCCAACACATGGAAATGATAAATACCCAAGCTGATAGATGCTCTAAATATCCTGACTTGATAATTACACATTGTATCCATGCAACAAAATATTACATGTACTCTCTATATATGTAAAATATTATACATCAATTTTAAAATAAAAAAAAGATATGAAATACACAGGAAAAACCTAAATAAGAAATGCGTGGAACTCATAGGAAGTCAGTTATAAAACTTATTGACAAACATGAAATATCTAAATTAATTCAGAGACACTGTATTTCCCTGTGGAAAATCCAGTCAGTCATTTCACATTAATCTATACTCAAACTGCTATTCTAATAAATATCTTAACTTTTCTGCTATCTCACAAAATTGACCATGCTCACTAAGGAGGAACAAATAGGTGGGAATAAAGAAAATTTTGGAGAAGAGTGGTAAAAAAAAAAACCTTGCTCTACAAGTTGTTAACATATTACAAAATTTATAATAACTAAAAGCAATGTAGGCTTGCTGCCACAATCAAATAAGGGAGCAACTAAATAGAACTCATCACTTTAAACAGAAACACCCAGTAGATGGTAAAATTAATATTTCATAACAGTGGGGATAGAATGACTTTCAAAGACATGGCATTAGTATCAAAAGGTTGACTCTAGAAAAAAACATTATGATAACAACTCATCACACTTGATATATAAATATGAATTTCAGCTTGATCAAAATTCTAAATTAAAATAAATAAGGTAATCAAAATTAGAAGATATAAAGAAATGTCCAACAGATCTTTAGATGGAAAGTTGCAAGCTTACTGTTGGTTTCATAAAACCAAAACCAAACCAAAGTAAAAAAGTTGAATTGTTAAACTACATAAAATTTAAAATTTAAAATTACATATTATCAATAATTTCTATGAAACAAGTTCAAAGACATCAACAGAGGGGAAAATTTGCAGCATACAACAGACAAAGCTTTGGAAGAATAAACATCTATAGTAACGTGAGCACAAAGAACTGCCAGACAACTCAAAAAGGAGAAATTCAAATAACAATAAAAATAGGAAAAATACTGATATTCAAATTTCTAGATAATAAAATGGGAAATATACCAAAATCAAGAATTGAGATATATAATTTTGGCTATCAACTCAGCAAAACTTTTTAAAAAGCTAAGATACACTATTCAGTTATACTCAATTTTTTTTGAGAATGCTGTTATACAATTTTAGAGAATTTTTTTTTCCTTTTTGAGCAATGAGCTCTTGCTGTGTTTCCCAGGCTGTCTCAGCACCTGGGCTCAAGCATTACTCTCATTTCAGCCTCCCGAATAGCTGGGACCACAGGCATGCACCACCAAGCCTAGCTTTTATTTTATTCTTTAAAAAGTTTTATAAATATATTCATCTTTTCAACAATGAAGAAAATGTTATTAAAATAAAATCACATTTTTGTATGTCAGAAACACCTGGATGGTGAGAAATATGAAACAAAATACTTTTTAGTTTTAAGTGTAAATATTGCAATTCATTATTATTTTAAACCTGACAAATAATAAAAAGATAAAACATATTAAAAATGAAATCAAAGGAGGATACAGTTTTTTTCTCTAATAACTTAGGGTCAAAGAGCAACAAAATCTATAGCTGGAAAATGATAGGACTGAATTGTAATGTGGATTTGTACGCCCAGTTTCACCATTTATCTGCTCTTGGCTATAAAACAAACCATCTCTGGGAATCACTTCCCTCTTCTGTAAAATGGGGATAATCCTTCTTGTCCACCCTTGAAGATAACGTGTAATAAAATATCTGAATGAAACTGTAAAAATGATCAGTTTATTCTCAAGTTACTATGATTGTACTCATGGAATTATATGTAGTTCTATATTATTCTTCTACCTACTCCATTGTTTGTACACTGGGCAGAAGTATTCCTTCTACTTTTCAGTTTGGAAGACCTGATCTGACTTTTATTATGCTTTAGAATTCATTCACTGAGAAAGCACTTCCCTACTGTAACACGAATTGTACATATTTTGTATCTTATGTCAAATTAGATGCTGCTTCTGAGTAATGTTCCAATATATGACACTGGTTTTACTGTAACCTTTCTGAATATCACTGCAGAAGTGAAATTGTCTACTTACAATTTCACAGTAGTATGATGCTTTCATACTTTTTAAAAAGTGCATCAATCTGGATAGATTTTCCCCCCTTAGATCCTGAGGATAGCAATGATGTTCAATGAGATGTTGCACCTGCTTTTAGTGAGAGGGTAAATCTGGGAGAATATATGTAGAAAGGAAGTTTGCATAGAATTGAGCTAAATCTTGGTAAACTTCTTTAAGACGAAAATGAAGTTTGTCAGGATTTTAATCCTTACACTTGAAGGCCCTTTCCAGGATTATGACTAAGATAAAATAAATAATATTTTCTCTCTTCTGATATCTTATAAAATTGATGGTGGCTGAGTGAACTTAATCAGAAGAGAGAGGGGAAAGGAAAATTCACAGATGAATTCGAGAGAAAATGGTTTTTGGAGCATTTGAAATCCAGGTTCCTTTTCTCAAAACAGAAAGGCTCCAAATCATACAATCTAGACTTCATTTAGGAAAGGTAAGAATAGACAGCTCCATTGCTTTTATTTCAACCAGAATTACTAAGATTGAAGGGTCCTCCTTGGCTTGTCAAGCAGCTGCCAAGATTCTAAAGAACCTGCTAAAAGATGCCTTGAATTATTAGTGCTGTGTTGTGGTAGCTGCACTGGATGAAATGTAAACAGAATGTTGCAATGGGCACTTTCCAAATCTGCGACTTATTATTTCAAACATTATTTAATAAAAAGGCATGAAAATATGCAACTAACCTATTTACTTTTATGTGTACCATAAAACTAAGCTACCCTTGCTTGTAAGCATGTGCCAAATTAGTCTTTTTCTGATGTTACTTAGCTATTAATACACTGGTCAGGAATTTTGCTTCCTATGATAATTAGAAAACAAAATCAAGCCAGGAGCGGTGGCTCATGCCTGTAATCCCAGCAGTTTGAGGGGGTGCTGAGGCAGGAGGACTGCTAGAAGCCAGGAATTTAAGACTAGCCTAGGCAATATAGTAACATACTGTCTCCAGAAGGAAAACAGAAAAATTAGCCTGGCGTGGTGGTGCAGGCCTGTAGTTCTAGCTGCTTGGGAGGTTGAGGTGGGAAGATCACTTGGCCCCCAAATTTCAAGGCTGCTGTGAGCTGTGATCATCCTACTATTGCACTCTAGCCTGGATGACAAAACAAGACCATGTCTCAAAAAAAAGAAGAAAGAGAGAAAGAGGGAAAGAAGGAAGGGAGGAAGGAAGGAAGGAAGGGAGGGAGGGAGGGAGGGAAGAAGGGAAGGAAAGAAAGAAAAAGAAGGAAGGAAGGAAGGAAGGGAGGGAGGGAGGGAGAGAGGGAGGGAGGGAAGAAGGGAGGGAAAGAAAGAAAAAGAAGAAAGGAAGGGAGGGAGGGAGGGAGAGAGGGAGGGAGGGAAGAAGGGAGGGAAAGAAAGAAAAGGAAGGGAGGGAGGGAGGGAGGAGGGAGGGAGGGAAGGAGGGAGGGAAAGAAAGAAAAGGAAGGAAGGAAGGGAGGGAGGGAAGAAGGGAGGGAAAGAAAGAAAAAGAAGGAAGAAAGGAAGGAAGGAAAGAAAGAAAGCAAAGCCATGCTTTATATATTTTTCTAAATATCACAAATGACTTAAAAACAAAGTATTAAAGGATCAAAACATAATTATAAAATAAGGGCTTTTCATGTCTAGGTATTTGGATATAACCTTGACTATTTTAATGTATATACTTCTTTTTACTTCTATAAACTATCTATCTCCAATACGAAAGGAAAATATCTTAGGCCTCCAAAATCACTAAGGAAAACTCAAGCTGCAAGCTGCTTAGGGCAAACCTGCCTCCCCTCCCATTCTATTCAAAGTCATCCCTCTGCTCACTGAGATAGCCTCCTTTGGAAAGGCTAATCAGAAACTCAAAGGAATGCAACTGTGTGTGTCTCACCTATCTGTGATCTGGAAGCTCCCTCCTGGCAAGTCCTCCTGCCCTTGCTTCAAGATGCCCCACCTTTCCAGACCAGATCAACGTACTTCTTACATATATTGATTGACGTCTCATGTCTCCCTAAAATGTATAAAACCTAGCTGTGCCCCGACCACCTTGGGCACATGTCGTCAGGACTTCCTGAGTCTGTG
Organism: Homo sapiens; assembly: GCF_000001405.40. Taxonomy (NCBI): domain Eukaryota; kingdom Metazoa; phylum Chordata; class Mammalia; order Primates; family Hominidae; genus Homo; species Homo sapiens. The sequence continues at coordinate 87,801,432 of NC_000003.12, read as the reverse complement.
TCACAGGTGCACTCTTAACCTTGGCAAAATCAACTTTCTAAATTAATTGAGACCTGTTTCAGATATTCTGGGTTCACACAAACAAGATTTTACTCCACTAATTTTCACTATAAGTGTGCTACTACACTGGTATACTATAAGGTATAAGATGAGGAGATAATACAAAAAGAAAGGAAAGACTGAAGCTAAATTAGCACCAAAGAGCTTTGAATCCTAGATAAGCTAGAAAGTTAAGCCTCTGCAAAAGATGAGTGCTTATTAATAACTCCAGATTTAATTCAGATATTTTTGTTCAATATTAGTTGGCATTGTTTTGAAATAGATGAAAGTTTGACATAAGGAAAATGTAACTCCATATTCATTTCAAGAAAAAAGAATAGAAATAACTATAGTAATGTCAATTTATATTGTATACGAAAAATAAAGGCAGCTTAACACTAAAGTGGGTTATTGAGTGAGACTATATACTTTTCTTGATATTTTGTTAAATAAGAGAAATAGCCATCTGTCTTAAAGACTGTAGATACAGAAGATTACATTAGGAAACTTCTCTGGGGTTTTATTTTGTCTTTTAATTTTATGAAACAGTTTGAAAGAGAGAAATGCCATAGACAGAGTACCAATGAACCAAGAAAGACAATTTTTTGAGGTGATTTCCAGAAAATCACTCCTACTCAAGGGTAGTTGTAAAGTATTACATAACATGGCTTGTTTACAGTTGCTCTTAACTCAGGCAACACAAGAGTCACAGAAGTTTCCCTTTGATGCTGTTTGTGCTGAGCACTACAGTTCATTCAGTCTGAAGATACAGAGATGGAAAAGACTCCATTTCTGCCTCCAGGTACTCACTAGCCTAACTGGAGAGAAGAGACATGTAAATAAATAAAATACAAACAGCATGGTGAATGCACTATGGATATTTACAAAAGGATCACAGCTACTTTAGAGGAGTGAATTACTTTTTAGCAAAGGAAGAAGTCTGGGAAGAAAAACAAATCCATGTAAATTTTGGCAAATGACTAAGAATTTGCCAGGTGGAAGGAAGGATATTCAGAGCTGAGAGAAGAAAGGAAAACCTATGTCAGAGAAGTGTGAGTAGTTCCCTGTTGCTGAGCATAGCTAGTGGGCTGGCAAGGAAGGGTGGCTGAAAGTAAAGTTGGAGCAGAAATTCAGAGGAAGAAGGACTTGGAAGGATGAGCTACAGGGCTTGGCTTGTTCCCAGAATGACATGAGGAGCCACTAAAGGATTTTAAGCATGAGACAGAACTAATACCTAAAGTTAATTTGGTGACAATATGGGAAAAACGACAAATGAGGGCAAGGCTAGATTCAGGGAGATGAGTTTGGAAGGTATTGAAAGAGTCTAGACTAAGCATATTGAATAAGTAAGTAATGAATGATCAGGAAAGTATAGTATATTCGAGAGACCCATCTAAGAGTAGTCTGACTGTATTTGGCTGAGTCTGGAGAAAAACTTTAAAAAAGAAATTTGGAGAGTCTCTCTGATAGAATATGGACTATATGAGTCTTAAACATTTAGGGGAGAAAGATGAGTTTAATTATGAACCTGTTAACTGAGCATGGAGGTCATCCATCTGTCCATGTTACCATCTTGAGGGCTTTTAGTTTAATAGGGAGGATTGGGCTAGATATGCAGAAGAGAGGGGAATTTACCCCAATGCCAGGATGTATCCTACTGGTGCTACTCAGGGGACTACTTGTACCAGCTCATGGAATTACATAATGTTGTATCAGATAGTGAGGGTTTTATTCTCCTTTCAATTTCCTTTCCCTTTGGATTAACCACTTCAAAGACTTCTAGCTTGGTGGAAGTTTGTTCTTAACTTTTGCTCATCTACTTTTTACTTCAACAGAATATCAGCCTCGGGCTCAAGTCTTTTAGCTGAGAATAAATACCTAATTAAAATGTAATAATATCACTATGTTGTTTGCTATATTCTTTTTATCATTTCATCTTATTTGTGGCAGTAGTATCAATTTTCCATTAACAATATTGATAAGGATTTTATTTTTATTTATTGCTATTTTAAAATATGATTCAATTTAAAGAAATGATATAAATAAGAAACATTGTTGTATGCAGGTATGAAAAAAAATCATGAAGGCAGTATGTATAACGACTTGGATATACCAAAAGGGGACTATTATTGGGTAATGCTAGAACTGAGAGTCACCTTCACATTTGGACAAACTAGGATTCATCATCTCATTTGGTGTTGCTGAAATTACAGTAGCTGATGAAATTTTTTTATAAGAAAGCCTGGGAAAGATTCCCAACTCTCACTGATGGACTTAAATGAGTCTGCTAATTGTCTAAAATTATCTGCAAATATTTGTATCTATGTGCATTTTTCCCTTGGGGAGAAATGACATAGTTTGTTTTTATTTTCATTTTTTCCTATTTTTGTTTTGAGACTCTCAAAAGGATCTTTGACCAAAACATAAAATGGAAGTGAATGAACAAGAGAGCTAAGAATGGGCAATGGAAGAGGATCACCAAACGAATGAAGAAGTAAAAATCAAAGATATAATAAGGGGACCAAGAGAGTGCTGTCAGAGACTTCACAGGAAAGACAAGTGTCTCTGAGCCTCAGGAAAAATAAGGCATGGATGATTAATGGTTAGCTTTGTCCAATGTTACTGAGTCATTCGGTGAGCTGAGTTTTCAGTGATCAGTAGCTTCTGATTTAATAATATAGTGACTATTGCCAAAGTAGTTTCATGGGATCGTGGGAGTGGAATCCGGCCTGTGGTGGGAGAGGAGTTAATGGGAGTGGAGGAGCTGGTGACAGGAAATAAAAATTAGGTTTTTTTTTTTTGAGGGAAGATAGCTGAGAAAAGATCAAATGGGACTCTAGCTACGGCGGGTGGAGGGGGGTCAGGGTCATGAGAGTTTTGCTGTTTTTCTGCTGGTTTTATGGATGGATGGGAGTGATATAATCTTAATACCTTTAAATAACAAAGTCATGAAATACAGAAGAGGCTCAAGTTGCAGGTGGTTAAAAGAATTGTTTATGAAGCAAAATTCAGATTGGAGTGGGGGCAGTTGTGGGACCCAGAGCAGAGAGGGTGGTCAGCTTGACAATCGGCCTAGAGGGAAGCAGAGGAGCTGAGCAGATAGACATACAGGAGTTGGAACTGGTGAGGGAGATTCATTCTTGAGAACCTCTGAAGTCCCGGTGAAGAACTGTCCTGAGACTGAAGGGGGAGGGGGCAGAGACAGTGTTAGTTTGGAGCAGGTGGGAAACTGGAGGGAGTGGCAACCAATGGTAAGAAAGATTTGATGAGAGTGATGATCCGAATGACATTAAGACCTGAGACTTTATGATGCCATCAACTGCAATTGTACATGCAACTGTCCCAAGCACACTTAGCTTTAGGAATGTAGGATGCTGGCCAAAGGACAGATCCAAATCTGGGAGTTTCTGGGAAATGGCACTGTCCCTGTTCCTCAACCTGCTAGTTCCCTCTCTTACTAGCACCAGTCATGCCATCCCCTACCACTTATTAAAGGGTTTGCTCCCACAGTATTCCTTTTTGTCCCACCATCAGCTTTGCCTTCTGTGTAGTTTATCCTCATTGGTCTACTTCCGACATTAGTAACTCCCATTTTAAAAACAAGTCTCCATGGCCCACTCCAGCTACTTTTAATCTTCTTTTTGAAACTTTTTCAGAGTTGTGTGGTACATAGTATTAATTTCCTCATCACCCATTCTTTATTTTCTTTCATATTTTAAGCTACATTTTTTTTTCAGATTCATGCGTGAAGTTTTATTTAGGGTTTTGAATAGCTAATCTATGTGCACGTGATTCAAAGGTATTAAAGTATATAAAAACAGAGTTTATCTTCCTTCTATCATTTTACCCTACCATCCAGTTTCCTTCCTTGTAGGAAACTACTATTGTCTACTGTTTTTAAAATATGTTTTCATATAAAGGCTCATTTTGATTTGTTCTGTAATAAATGATAGCATTTCAAACATACTGCATTGCAACTTTTTCTGCTAGCTTAGCAGACTTTGCAGATCTTTTAATTTTAACATATGGAAAGCTGCCTAATAATTTTAACACCCAGATAGTATTCCATTGAATGTACATACAGTAGTTCCTAGTTATCTATTAGGCATAGGCCCAAGACCCCCCAGTGAATGCCTGAAACCATGAATAACTCCAAACTCTCTGTATACACACTATGTTTTTCCCTATCCATACATACCTATGATAAACTTTAATTCATAAATTAGGCACAGTAAGAGATTACCAACAATAACTAATAACAAAGAACAATTATAACAATACTCAGAATGACATGCTATTTAAAACATGATTTTTGTATGTCTGAAATTTTCCATTTAACATTTTTAGACTGCGGTTGACTGCCGGTAACTGAAACTAGGGAAAGTGAAACTGAATAAGGAGGGACTACTATATATAGATTATTTGGCTTGTTTTCTATGTATACGTATTTATGTTGTTTTCAATTGTTTGCTTATGTACAAAACTGCAAAGAGTAACTGTGAACATCTATTATTATTTTTACTTAAGTGCAAGCATATCTATAAGATAAATTCCTAGAACTGGAATCACTAGGTCACCAATCTATGCTCAATTCTTAAAGATCAATCTTGTCACCACCATTTTGACTGAAATAGCTTAATTCCAAGGTAATTCTTTGCCTTTACATAATTTTGTACTTTAGCAACATTGGACACAGCTGATCAGCACTTCCTTTTTTCTTAAAAAAAGTACTTTCTTCTTTTGGCTTCCATAATATCACACCCTTCTGGATTTTTCCCTATTCCACTAACTGCTCCTTCTCAGTTTCCTTTTATGGCTCCTACCCTCTTCAATATCCATATTTTGGACTGCTCTAGAACTCTTTTCTCAGCTTGATCCTTTAAATACATTCTCCCCTGAAATTATTTCATAAAATCCCGTTCTTCTAAATGCCATTTATATAATGATGACTCACACATTCTTATCTCCAACTCTGGCTTTTTCCTTGAGCTCTGTCCCATCTACCCGTTATGCCTGCACCTAGATATCTAGTAAGCTGCTCAAAATGTAACTGTTCCTTTGTCTTCTCATATCAGTTGGTGACAACTGCATTTTTTCCTGTTGCTCTGGTCATAAATCTAGACATGAGCCTCAATTCCTTTCCTTCCAACACCCACCATATCTAATCTATCATCAAGTCTTGTCACCTTTGCCTCCAAATACATCCAGAATTCACACACTTCTCACCATCTCTACAATACATCCTGGTTAAAGACTAGGCTGGCAAACACTAGTGACTGCCTGACAGCCTTCTTGCTTCCCTTCTTGTCTTCCAACAGAAACTCTCCACAGAATAGCAAGAAGTTATTGGGGAAACAGTTTCCTGCTGAAATGCTTTCATGTCTTCCCACTGTACATAGAAGAAAATACGAGCTCTGTACCCTGGGTTAAATGGACACATATTACTTCTGAGAGAAGGAAATAACACAAAGAAATTGGAAAGATTATGAAATTAATAGAGTTTCCCCTTTTTCATACTCATTGATGTAATTTTTGCCTATTTCTGTTCATTTCTAGGCTCTAAAATATGTCTCTTTTGTTCATTTTCAAATGGAAGGATCATGTCTGTTTCAGATGTCAATTTTGAGTTTTCCTACTGCACTTCAAGGTTCTCACTTTTAGATCAGAAATTAGTATTTCTTCTCTGTCTAATTTAAGGCTGAGGGAATGGAAAAGTAAGGTTTCCACTTACAGGGCACGGGAACTGTGGTTCTAGGTTGGATCACTACATATGTTTCCCTAGGGGTTTCTGGACCTGGCCACTGAAAGATTAATAGTGCTTTCAGCTAACAACCAGAAGGCAACACACAGCATCTTGTTTACCCTGCCTCAAACAGCATCCCGTCCACCTTTCATATTGGAAAAAAAAGAGAATCCTGCCATGGTTTTGCAAATATCGCTATGTCCATGTTGTTTTACATTACCCAGTTATTACTAACGTACTAGAGAGTGCCCTTCAAACATCTTTAAAATGATTTCAGTAAAAGTTAATCAAATTCAAAAAAGACCACATTTGCTAGATAAGAAAATTTAAACTATCACTCCTTTTATTTCTGATTAAGAAGTAAGTTGGCCGGGCGCTGTGGCTCACGCCTGTAATCCCAACACTTTGAAAGGCCAAAGCGGGCAGATCACGAGGTCAGGAGATCGAGACCATCCTGGCCAACATGGTGAAACCTTGTTTCTACTAAAAATACAAATTAGCTGGGTGTGGTGGCATGCGCCTGCAATCCCAGCTACTCAGGAGGCTGAGGCAGGAGAATCGCTTGAACCAGGGAGTCAGAGGTTGCAGTGAGCCGAGATTGTGCAACTGCACTCCAGCGTGGAGACAGAGACTCCATCTCAAAAAAAAAAAAAAAAAAAAAAAAAAAAGTCAGTCATAATTTTGAAAGTCTTTGGGAAAAATATGCGCCCAACTTTAAATAAAAATAAAATATCTTCTAAGAAAAGTATGTGTATAATTTTAATTAACAGCTTTATAGTAGTCTTTATAAGAACAATAAAAACAATATAACTAGTTAATATATTCATTTTTAAAAAGTGAACAAGTTGACTTTACAAATGTGCTGTTGCTCAATCCCACCCATTTATATAATAAAATTTGGCTAATGCGGCAAGATGGCAGAAAGTGCATTATTCTTTAAAGTCCTCATTCCAACAAATAAGTTATTTGTATGCTGTTGACAAGGAACAATCCCTTAATATAACTTAAGCTCATTAGCTCTGTAATAAGCCCACTTGGATGAAGCGTGAATAAATGATTCATACTAACTGAAAGACGTGTGGAAAAATATACTGAACTTCCTTGGATTAAAAATTAGTAAAATAAGTTATTTTCATAGGAACTCCTAAGTTAATAGCAGGCAAGTGTAAAATTTGTTCTAGAAACATCTGAGTTTGTTCCTTTATTGAACCACCTCTCCCAAAGCTTAGAAAACCCCTTTTGATTGGAAACAGTGAATACATACTCTCATTCTCAAGACTCACTTTGAAACAAAGATTAGAATGGGGTGGGGGGAAGCATGAACGACTCTTTCCTTAGGGAAGGCACGAAGTGGTGATGCTTGGACCTGTTTATGAGTTTGGGGAGGGGAAAATGGAGAGGAAGAAGAGGAAGAGACTGCAAGCCCAGAGGCGATGGCAGAGTCTTCCTCGGGTTTGCTTCTGCGTGGATACCCTCACTTTATCAGCGAAATGTAGCCCAGAGTTCATTCCACCTCTCACAAGAAACACACAGACAAATGGGGCACACCAAACTTAAGCATCATTAGACTGTTGATCATCAAATCAAATTTCAAAGACTTGTATGTAAATAGAACTAGAGCGAAACCCGTTTTAAAATTTGTACTGTTTTCCTGTTTTCTCTCTCTCTTTTTTTTTTTTTTGGCATAGCATATCCACTAAAATTTAATCAAATTGTAATAATTATATATCTGTTCCAGAATATGGGGGAGAGGTTAATGCCACCTGCTTATGTCATCTTAAATATTCACCTAACAAATCATCTTAACTATATTACGATCGTCAAGGTGCCTGGGAAGTAATTAACATGCAGGAAAAACAAAATCTGCTCCTTAAGGCTTCTTCCAAAGTGCCTGTCCTTACGAAAGGCTCTCTCATCCAGGGCCCCATCAGTGGCCACCTCTTTCATGCAAACTGAAATAACCTCAACATCACATCCAGCATTGGAACCTCCCCAAATGCCCATCTCCGTTTGCATTTTTTCTACTCATCCCTGAGCTCTCACAGCCCCTTTAGGGGCAGGACCCCTGAGGATGAACCCTCATTCCGCCGGTCTCTCGGATCCCCCTTTCTCTTTTGCTTGATTGCCCCTCCAAACAGGAAGGCGCCAACAACCCTACCTTGAGTCAGACCTGCGGCAACTAGGCAAGCTGCAGCCGCGAGGTAGAAGCTCTCTCTGACCCTTTTACCTTAATGGTTCGTACCCGCGGGAAATAAAGTTGGAAAACTGCAAGCGATTTCCGATCTACGGCTTCTTCCAGCTCCTCAGATTTATCTTACCGTCCCCCCCGCGAATCCTCTCAAGATCCCACCGAGAGATGGATTCGAAGACTCTCCCCTCCTTCCGCTGCTGGATTCTGGCCCGTGCCCCGTCTCTCTCCACCCCAGCGGCTTCCCGAGGTAGGAGCGCCAGGAGCCTGCGCCCTAAGTGGGGTCTCGCCGGCTTGGACCGCCACCCCTCGCCCTTGGGCCCGGGTCAGACCCCTCCCTTCCTCCCAGCCTTGACCACTATCTCCGCCTAGCACCACAGAACTTCGCCCCCAGGGAGCAGAGGTTGTGGGCAGAAAAGGGAAAGGGCAATTCTTGAATTCCTGCGCTGTTAGATCAAAGTAGTGTGGGAAAGGACTTGGCGCCGGCTTCCCAGCGTTTCCGCCGAGAGCAAGCGCTGTCCAGCCTCCCACTCCCCACGTCCCCACACCCCTTCCCCACCTGCGCGCCAGCTGCGGGCGTGACCCGCACTCCCGGGCTCAGCGCTGATCCGCACACTCACCCCTGGCGCTCCCTGCAGCAGTCGGAGCTGGCAAGGTGGCGCCCCCAGCCCCGGGGCGCGGGAGGGCAGGGGCGACCCCACGGGGCGGGAAGACAGCAGCGCCTGTCGCCAGCTTTCGGGGCCGCGACGCTGACTGCGCGCTGGGGAAGTCTTGCGCCGCCCTTGCGGGTCCGGGGCGCCTGCGGGTGGGCGGACGCCCCAGGCTCTCCAGCACGCCTAGCAGCCCTCTCCTCTTGCCTTCCTCCCTTCCTTCCTTCAACACCCCTCTCTCCCTTTCTCTCTTGCTTCTGTCACTTTTTCGCCTCCCTGCCTCTTCTCTCCTCCGTCTCCTCCCTCCTCTTTCACTGATGCGTGGAGAAGGGCGGGGGAGAAAAAAGTCCAGTCTCTTAAACTTGAGTGATACCTTCGAGATTATCTGTTCATGGAATCCGAAAAATGACGTGAATCACTTTTCCGAAAACCTTTAAAATAAAATGATTTTTGCCTCACATTTTTTCATCTTTGCGTCTTCTTCCCAGTGACTCTTTTTATCCAGCTGGGTGGCTAGCAATGAGAGAGGTCAGATAAAGAAAGCAAAACGGGAATTATAGGTAGAGGACTTAGGAAGTGGGATCGTGAACAGCCATTGGGTGGGCCCAGGGATTAATTTACCCACAATTTCATGAAGAATGCATTTTCTGAAAAAGAAGTGGTGCTGGAGCATGAGAAGGAAGATAGGCAAGGTAATAGGGTCAGGATTTATTCACAATTTTATTCTCAGGCATGCCTGGTGGTTTATCCAGGAGATGCCTTAGCATATGTTTGTAGTGCTTTGACCTGGAGAGAATACGTGACCTTTTCCGTTCCTGGCCTTAAATCGTTTTCGACTAATGTTTGGTAGCTTGCAAAGAGTCCAGTTAGCCTGCCAGGAATTCCCCAAATCTTCTTTAAAAGACCTTAGAAGCTTGTATGCTTCTTGGAAGGTGGCAATTTTTCACCACTGAAACAGGTCTCCAATGCTGAGAAAGGTGGGACAGATATTTATTTATTTATTTATTTATTTATTTATTTATTTATTTATTTTGTACAGAGCACCGCCTTTGTAGTCCACAGATGCACCTTCCCAAGACTGAGTTTTACTCTAAGCCTGACTGTCTTAGATTCATATTCCCAGAAAGGAGCTACTGTTAACGAGAGATCCTTTCTGTTCTCCCATTTCCCAACACTAAGTTGATCTTAGATGAGTCTTTCTTATAGACCAAGCCTGTGCTTTCCAGCCCACCTTCCTTCCATTGGTGAAGTCATCCATGATATTCTTCTGGTATCATATATTTAAATGAGATAGCGTATATAAAATACTAAACATAATGCTTGGCACTTAGTAGTCAGAAATGTTAGCAGAATTATGGGTAATGACGTCAGATTATCATTAGCATTTATTTTATGTTTTAATTCTCTCACGTAGTTTTTTAGCCTCAATTTCCTATGCCATGACTTGCACAGTTCTTGTCTTTGTCCCTTATAAATATATGACAGAGTGTTTATGGCTACTCTTAGCAGAGTACAGTGAAAATAATTTCAGAGGAAGTCCAGATTTATAACTTTCCTAATAGGACACAGTAATTTCTCTAGAAGATATGATATTGACAGCCTTGACTTTACACTTGTAACTGAAAGTAATTTGTAACAAATCTTGTAGATGACAGCCATGGATAAAGTCCAAAGTTATATTTCCTCAACAAGCAGATTAAGAATATCTCCACTTTATACACAGAGTTTCTGCAATGATAGTGCAAACAGCAAGTTGTCCATAGGAACCAACCTGCAATCTGGAGAGCTGAAGACCTCAACTTTAAGGTGTTTCCAGATGACATATTTGGACTTACATAGCTGGAGTTTACAATTTAATGATCTATCTTGGGAGTAGTTATGTTAAGTGAAGGTGTGGAAAATACCCCATCTGTGATGCAAGAGGAATATACAGTTTCAGATGCTTCTGCTATTGCTACTGCAGCAAACAAATTGGTTAGGTGTCAGTGATGAAAATGCACCTTGCGTGCTGCAACAGGACATTGTGCCCTAGAGGTATTCCATTTGCTATTCAGTGCACAGATACTTAACCTGGCAGGCAGGACACAGTCACAGCACTCAGCAAGGGTTTCTCTGAGTAGCGGATGCCATAGAATTAACACTGTAGGCTGCTTCTTTAGATAGACTACATTTTAGAGGCCTTGCTCTCAGTGAGAAAGAGGCCAGAATCTCAGTTAGTTTTTAAATTCACTGCTTTTAAGTTGTTTAAAGTGAATTAAAGTTCAGACCAGTTCTTTCTGAATGCTTAGGAGAAAGATCCTGAAAACACTGGTGCTTTTAAGGTCTTGTTTATTTTTAATCTTAGATATGCAGAATGAGGGACATGTCTTAATAGACAACACACTAATTGTCTGTTCTTTGAGCTTTTGGCAGAAAGAATATTTTATTAAGGACAAATTGCACTAATTTGGTGATATCGATCTCAGTTTAAGACGAAGTTGAATCTCTCTTGTTCTTTTCAATTAAGCTGACTGTGAACTGTAAAAAACAGCCACAAAGTGCAAAATTAAGGGAAAAAAATCCAAGAAGTTGTAAAAGGATGTAAGTAGTGTAGACAAAACTAGTACAAATAGTGCAGGCCTAAATAACATAACCCTTAATAGTTTATGATTTTCTTGAGTTATTTGGTTAACTGAGGAAGACTAACCTCATTTCATATATCTTATAAGATATACTGACTCATCCCATGATATCAAAAAGTCGATTTTTAGGTGCATTATTTTAAGTACCTTTTAACTGTATTTTGAAAAAAATACTGCAGAGTAAAATAAAAATTTGCAATGCAAATAAAAGCAATCAAATAAGCAACTGTTTCCTGGCTTATGGGAAAAACATTTTAGTTTTTTTTATAATTATTCAGATGACTGTATGCAATCATTAAATTCATCAGGTAATTGCTTAGTTCTCCTTTTGGAAGGAAGTCAAATAGAAAGATATGAGAATGTTAAATAAATATAATTATAATTTAACATTTCCATAATATGTAGGTGAAGACTGGGTTGGAAATAATCTGTTATAAAATAATGTTTATTTGCTTGTAAATAGAAAATATCCCTAGGCTCTTCTCTAGAAAATATTATCATATCTAAAGCACTGACCAAAAATTGGGTTTATAGTTTAAATTCATTTTTATAGAATTTTTTTTTAATTTTTAAAATTTTTATTTTATTTTTTTCTTCAAGTCTTATTTTAAGTTCTGGGGTACATGTGCAGGATGTGCAGGTTTGTTACACAGGTAAACATGTGCCACGGTGGTTTGCTGCACAGATCAACCCATTGCCTACATATTAAGCCCAACACCTATTAGCTGTTCTTCCTGATGCTCTTCCTCCCCCTGCATACCCCCCAAAAACGACAGGCCCCAGTGTGTGTTGTTCTCCCACATGTGTCCATGTGTTCTCATCATTCAGCTCCCACTTACAAGTGGGAACATTCAGTATTTGGTTTTCTGTTTCTGCGTTAGTTTGCCGAGGACAACAGCTTCCAGCTCCATTCATGTCCCTGCAAAGGACATAATCTTGTTCCTTTTTATGGTTGCATAGTATTCCATGATATATATGTACCACATTTTCTTTATCCAGTCTGTAATTGCTAGGCATTTGGGTTGATTCCATGTCTTTGCTATTGTGAATAGGGCTTCAATGAACATATGTGTGCATCTATCTACATAATAAAATGATTGCTAGGTCAAATGGTATTGCTTCTAGGTCTTTGAGGAATCACCAGTCTTCCACAATGGTTGAACTAATTTACACTCTCACCAACAATGTAAACACATTCATTTTTCTTTACAACCTCGCCAGCATCTGTTATTTCTTGACTTTTTAATAATTGCCATTCTGACTGGCATGAGATGGTATCTCATTGTGGTTTTGATTTGCATTTCCCTAATGATCAGTGATGTTAAAAATCATTGACATTCCCATTCTAGTTAGCTAAATTTATGAGTTATTTTCCAGACATATGCAATATGTCTGGAATGCGACAGATAGTGAAGGAGACGACTGAATGAGAAGGTTCCAGGTCGGTCACTATGCAACAATCTTGCCTTAGGCTGTAGTTAGCTCATCTCTAATATTGGGTGGGTGAGTAGTGAACAAAATGAACACAAGCGTCAAAATGATTTCTTATCTGTTGCCACAGTGTTCCTTGGCTCCACAATGAAAAGAATTATAGTACAATGTTTTGCACATGATAATGAGTGATATGGCTGGACAAAAATGTTGAAGACTATGTGATTTGCATCTACTATGATAGAAAAATACCAGTTGATCAAATTTACTTTAAATAGATACTAATGACACTAAACTACTATATAATCAAACTCTCCAGCTAAAATCCAAATATCTCAAGAGATAGTCAATGTCAGTATATCCATGCCTCTTGAAAAATTTAATGTTATCCTCAGTTATATCATAGTTGTATTTTACCTAGAGCCATTGTTTGTATTAGTCTTAATACTTTCAATACCATTTCATAATTTCTCATTTATCCTGTATTTGGTAAGGCAATAAGAAAACTTCAGTTATATCTCTGCATTCATAATAAATCTGGTCATAAATGTCACAAAGGACCCTTGCAGTAGACTTGAATTAAATTGGCTGTTAATTTCATCTAACCATTAACCTGCTTGATGACTTAAAAAGGTATTAAATTGCTTTCAATTTCAACTTCCTAAAATTTAATATGAGAATAAGGCAATTCTATCTATCTCCAGAAGTTACCTTGAGTATACCAGAATGTAGTATATGGACTTTCGTAAAAAGGGTAATGTATTACACAATATAAGACCAAATTTATGTGATGAATCTAGCAATAAAATCAAAACAAAACCATCAGGCTTTTGTTGGGTATCAACAAACACCTGATGGAATATCTTAGGATCTGCTAATCTTTGGGTTAAAATTTTGTCCTGTCAACACAAAGCAAATTTTAAAGAGAAAAGATTTCATGGAAATGTAAATTGCAACTATCAACCTTCAGGACAACCAGATAGTGTGACTTGTATGCATTTCTACCAGTGACTACTCCACCAATTGTAGTACCCTATGATAACATTCAAAAAAGTTGTATGTATATATAAGGTAAACAGGTTTTTCCTTCTTCTCTTCACAATTGCTACTGGTCATTTCTATGTAGTTATATAGATAATACCAAAACAAAATAAAGATGCTTTTGAAAAATCAGGATAAAACCCATACTGGGTAATTGCCAGTTCTTCATAGTATATGTAAAATAGTGTAATTAATGTCTACTCTTGGAGTTTTACTAGAACAAAAGAGTAGATAGACCCTGAGTGTTTGACATGGAACCAAATTATCCCAAAATATTAGCATTTAGGAGATTGTTTAATATGTGTCCTTGATGGAGAAAAAATTATGATTATTTAGAAAATACTATTTGTTACATCTTTATATGTATTCTTCTGGTGAATGTGAAATGAGACAAATTAACTAACAGCTTGCTAAAGCCGTTGATGTATTATTATTGCTTAATTAAATGCAATACTTGAAGGGTTTTAATACAATTTGTTCAAAGCTCATTGCCAATTCTTTAACCATTTAAAATTCCTTTATCATAATAGCACAAAGTTGGAAACAGCCCAATCCAGCTGTAGATTAACATGAATATGCTCCACTGTTACAACTGCAGTCCTACTAAGATCACCTGATGAAGTAGAACATTTCTTTGAAATAGAGTTTACATATAAGTCTTAGTTTTCAAAGGGAGAAAAGCTTTCAATATTTTTAAATTATAAAATTTTGCTTATATGATCTTGAAAAGCGCATATTTATATGCGTAATTGCATTAGTGAGTTTGTTTTAAAGTATGTCTTAATCCTGCTTTGGGAAGCAGACTCTCCCAAACATTTAATTATTTTTTCCATACGATGCCTCAAACTGTGCCTATCTTATTCTTTTATCATTTATCATACTTTATTATATTTTCTCTCCATGTGTATGTTTGTGCATGTCTCTTTTCCTCCAGAGTTTTAGCTGTACTAACGAGAAACTGTTTTTTTCATCTTTGTTTACCCTTAGTAATTTGCCTAGTACCTAGAAATGAGAAGACACTCAGTAATATTTGAAATGCATGGGTAAATGAAGGTATCAGGTACATGTCTTTAACCTTTACATTAAGTGAGACATAGCAGCTGCTATTTTCCAAAAAATTAGTATTTAATGAATGGTACGAGTTATCAAGAGTCTTTTCCAATATCACCCAATGATGTTACGTAAGATAGCCCTTTCCTCCTACTCAGCTATCCACTTTCTGCTTTTTATGTTGGAAGTATCTTCAAATGTCAAAAGTATCTTTGGATGTCCATTAATATTCGACAGCGGGACACAGAAGCTCTGTGTGCCAAGGTGTATCTTCTTAAGACCGGGCTTCATTAAATTTGGTTGGTTAGTGAGCTGGTTATTCCATGAACAAAAGAGAGGCTATTCTCTGGGGCTGTTCAATTACCATAGTTAAGAATCTTCTAGTTTTTTTCTTGGAGATATTCTGGGAATAGTAAGGGGTAATGGAACTGGAGATTCCACTCTTTATTACTACGTAGATCTTTACTTAATCCACCTATGCTATGCCTTGTACCTGGTAAATCTCCAATCTCTCTCCTGGAATGAGAGTAGAGAAAATACTGCCCAGCTACGAAGCATGATCTTGGGACCCAACCATGGTTTTCCATTAGTATAAAAGACTTATAACCTGTTTTCAGCTCTGTGCTACACCTCACCTTCTAAGATGCTGTGTGTTTTTTTAGTGCTAAGCCTTTCATGAGTACTAAGTGGTGTGCCACCACTCATTTATCTGCTCTCTTTCATTATCTACCAATTTTTCCATCTCCTAGTAAAATATAGAACTATCTATCTTTTCTGTTTTCATGTTATTTCATTCCTGTGGCTTAATGTCATTTCATTTCTTTACTGCCATTTTAGCAGGGGTGTTATGGATGAATGCACAAAAACATGATGTTTAATTAACCTTTCAAAGTTAAAGGAGAAACTCTGTAAAATGGATAGGCAAATATTTGGCCCTAAGTATTATGAATTATTGTATACTATGCTGTGTCACAGAATGATATTACAACATATATAGTTTATATGTGTTTTTCCTATGTTATTGTCATAACTATAAATCTCCATTTAAAATATTGACAGAATAATAATTATTTGCTTTCAGTTGCTTTTTTTTTCTTGCTCTTCCTCTCCTTTTTGAAACTTCAATTTCTATTAGTCTCCTATTTTCTATACATCAAGCTTTATTTTCTTTTCTAAATGGTGACAGAACCGTGAGAGACTTATGTCACCTTGTAATGATTTACCATTGGCTTAAATACAGTTATTTATGTTTACTTGCTCCCATATTTTATATAAAATAAAAAATATTTGCCATTTCATAACTGTTTGATATGAAATAGAAAGGAAAAGCTTTTTTAGCTACATCCTCTGGTAGGGGCTAGAAACTATCCTATTAAGTAATGCAGTTTGAATTATCCTATTGGCAGAACGTCAGTGGAGTATGGCAAACTGGCAGTAATCATCACTCTGAATGATAATGATTATTACTACTACTTCTAGTAACAGCTACCATTTGAGTCCAACACCATGCCAGCTACAGGAACCTCTTATGTATTGTGAGAGTAAGAGAGAAGTATTAGTGTCCCCATTTCACACACTACAAATGGTTTTTCCTATGGTCAACCAGCTAGTAAGTGGGATATATTGGATTGAAACCATCTTATGACTGATTTCAAAGTATGCTTTTCCCCTAAAATACCATTAATAAAAAACAAGTATGCATAATTATGTAATTTTAAAGTCAAGGATACTGATAAGAATAGTTATGTGGACAATTAATATTTTAAAGTTTGAGTTGTTTTTATAAAATCTCTAGCACAATTCTACCAGCTCCAGTTCCAGCCCCTTACCTTGGTGCTCAGCTTTGCTGCAGGACTGTTCTTTTCCTTCTGCTCATTCTCTGCTTCTTTACTGTTTCACTAGTAGAAGCTCATAGCCCAGGTGTAGTCTTTTTTGTGTAACAGCTTTACTGAACTGTAATTTATATACTATAAAATACACCCACTTAAAATCTGCAACTCAATGCCTTTTAATATGTTCAGAATTGTACAGCCAACATCACAATCAATTCTTAGATAATATTTGTCATCCCCACAAGAAACTCCATACCATTAGCAGTCACTCTCCGTGTTCTGTCCCCTCTTCCCTTGTACTAGGCAACCACTAATCTACCTCCTATCTCTATAGACTTGCCTATTTTGGACATTTTATATAACTGAAACTATATAATATGTAGTCTTTTGAAACCTTGCTACTTTCACTTAGCATATTTTCAAGGTTCATCTATGTTGTAGCATGTGTCAGAACTTTGTTCCATTTTATTGCAGAATTGTATGGATATCCCATATTTTTGTAGGAATAACACATATTTTTATTTATCCACTCATTAGGTGGAGGGCATTTGAGTTATTTCCAGTTTTGGACTGTTATGAATAATGATGCCATGCACACTTGTGCACAAGTTTTTGCATAGCCATATATTTTTATTTAATTTATCTCTATCCTTAGGAGTAGAATTGGTGATCATATGGTAACTCTATATTTAACCTGTTCAGGGACTGCCAGATTGTTTTCCAAAGCATCTGTACCATTTAACATTCAATGTGAGGGTTTCAATTTCTCCATATCCTTGACAAATGTGTCTTTTTAATTATAGATTTCCTACTGGGTATACATGGTACCTCACTGGTGTTTTGATTTGTATTTCCCTAATGAATAATGATGCTGAGCATATTTTCATGTGCTTATTGGCCATTTGTATAGCTTTTGAGAAATATCTATTCAAATACTTTGCCTATTTTTAGTTGTATTATTTGATAGTAAGAGTTTTTAATATATTCCAAATACAAGTCCTTCATTTGATATATGATTTGCAGACATTTTTCTTCAATTCTATGGGTTGTCTTTAAAAATTTTTTAAATTATAAATTGACAAATTATAGTAGTATATATTTATGGGGTATGAAGTGATGTTATGATTTATGAATACAATGTAGAATAATTAAATCAAGCTAATTAACATATCCAACACCTTAAATACTTAATTGTTTTTTGTGGTGAAAACATTTGAAATTTATTCTCTTAGTGATTTTGAAATATACAATACACTATTATTAACTATATTCGCCATGCTGTGCAATAGAACTCAAAAACAAAAACAAGGAAAGAAAGAAAACCCAAAACTTTTTTCTTTTTTTTTTTTTTTTTGAGACGGAGTCTCGCTCTGTCACCCAGGCCGGACTGCAGTGGCCTATCTCGGCTCACTGCATGCTCCGCCTCCCGGGTTCACGCCATTCTCCTGCCTCAGCCTCCTGAGTAGCTGGGACTACAGGCGCCCACCACCGTGCTCGGCTAATTTTTTGTATTTTTAGTAGAGATGGGGTTTCACCATGTTAGCCAGGATGGTCTTGATCTCCTGACCTTGTGATCTGCGCATCTTGGCCTCCTAAAGTGCTGGAATTACAGGCGTGAGCCACCCTGCCCGGCCAACCTTTTTTTCTGTCAGAGGCTTTGTATTACCCCCAGCCCTCAGCCTCTAGTAACCACCATTATACTCACTACTTCTATGAGTTCAATTCTTTTAGATTCCACATATAAGTGAGAACATGTAGTATTTGTTCTTTTGTGTCTATCTTATCTTATTTAGTGTAATCTTCTCTAATTCTGACCATATTGTTGTAAATTACAGAATTTCTTTCTTTTGTAAAACTAAATAATGTTCCATTGTGTATATATACCACATTTTCTTTACCCAGTCGTCTACTGATACTTAGTTTGATTCTATATCTTGGCTGTTGTGTATATTGCTACAATAAACATGAGAGAACAAATATATCTTCAACATGCTGATTTCAAATCTTATGGGTAAATATTCAGACATGTGAGTGCTGCATCATATAATAATTCTGTTTTTAGTTTTTAAGGGAATCTCCATACAGTTTTCCTTAACAACTCTACTAATTTACATTCCCACCAACAGTGTATAAGGGTTCCCTTTTCCTCACATCCTCACCAACACTTGTTATCTTTAGTCTTTTTGATAATAATCATTCTGAATAGGTGGGAGGTGATATCTCATTGTGATTTTAATATACATTTCCCTAATGATTGGTGATATTGAGCATGTTTTTACATATACACTGGCCATTTGTATGTCTGCTTTTGAGAAATGTCTATTCAGGGTCCTTGTCCACTTTTTAATCAGATTATTTATTTTCCTTCTATAGAGTTGTTTGAGTTGCTTATATATTTTAGGTATTAGATGATTATCAGATGTATTTTGCCAACATTTTCTCCCAATCTATAGGTTGTCTCTTCATTCTGTTGTTTCCTTTGTTATGCAGACGCTTTTTATTTTGATGTGATCCATTTTATCTATTTTTTTGCTTTTGTTTCCTGTGCTTTTGGGGTCAAATCTAAAAAATCACTGTCCTGACCAGTGTTGTGAGGTTTTTCTGCTATGTTTTCTTCTAGTAGTTTTACAGCCTCAGGTCTTACGTTTAAGTCTTTAATATCTTTTGAGTTGATTTTTGTGTATGGTATAAGACATTTTTGGAATATTTTGGAATATTTTGGAATTTTTTGGAAGTTAAGAAAAACAATACCAGATTTATTCTTTTGCATTTAAATAATCAGTTTTCCCAGCACTGTTTATTAAAGAGACTGTCATTTTCCAATTGTTTATTCTGGGCACTGTTGTTGAAAATCAATTGGCAGTACATCCCTGGGTTCATTTCTGGGTTCTTTATTCTTCTGTTCCACTGGTCAATGTGTCTATTTTTATGCCAGTACCATGCTGTTATAATTACTATATTTTTGTAGTGTAGTTTGAAATTAGATAGTGTGATGCCTCCAGCTTTGTTCTTTTGGTTCATAGTTGTCTTTACTATTCAGATTTTTTTGTGGTTCTTACAAATTTTAAGATTGTTTTTTCTGTTTCTAAGAAAAGTGACATTGGAATTTTGATAGGCATTGTGTTGAATTTGTGGATTGCTTTCAGTAGTATAGACATTTCACAATTCATATTTTCACCATATGAATTCTTCCAATTCATGAGCATGAGATATCTTTTCATTTATTTGTGTTTTCTTAAATTGCTCTTAACATTTTATATTTTTCAGTGCATAGGTCTCTCACCTTTTTGGTTAAATTTATTTCTAAGTATTTTATTTTATATAGCTTTTTAAAATTGGATTATTTTCTTGATTTCTTTTTTGGAAAATATGTTGTTAGTGTATAGAAATGCTACTGATTTGGGTATGTCAGTTGAGTATCCTGCAACTTTACTGAACTCCCTTATTAGAGTTTTAACAGTTTTTTGGTTGAATCTTTAGGGTTTTCTATGCACAGTCATGAAGTGCATGAGGACATTTTCGTCAACAATGGATCACATATATGATGGGGGTTCCATAAGATTGTAATACTGTATTCTTATTACACCTTTTCTGTCTATAGATACATGAATGTTTCTCATTGTGTTACCATTGCCAATAGTATTTAGTATAGTAACATTCTGTACAGGTTTGTAGTTTAAGAGAAATAAGCTATAACATATAGCCTAGGTTTTTAGTATACTATACCGTATAGGTTTGTGTACGTACACACCATGATGTTCACACAGTGACAAAATTGCCTAAGGATGCATTTCTTAGAACACATTCCCATCATTATGCAATGTTTGCTGACTAAGATCATATAATCAGCAAACTGAAAATTTCACTTCTTCTTTTTCTGTTTAGATGCCTTATTTCTTTCTCTTGCCTAATTGCTCTGGCAAGAACTTTCAATGCTATGTTGAATAGAAGTGGCAAAAATGGGCATTCTTTTACTTGTTTCAGATGTCAGAGGAAAGGATTTCAATTTTTCCCCATTGAGTGTAATGTTACCTGTAGTTTTATCATATATGATCTTTATTGTGTTGAGGTATGTTCTTTCTGTAACTAATTTGTTGAGAGTTTTCATCATGAAAAGATGTTGAATTTTGTCAAATGATTTTTCTGCATCTAATGAGATGCTCATGTGGTTTTTGTCCTTCATTCTGTTAATGTGATAACCATAATAAGTTAAACCATATTTGTGTCCTAGGTATAAATTCCACTTGATCATGGTGAATGGTCCTTTTAATGTGTTGTCTAATTCCATTTCCTAGTATTTTGCTAGTATTTTGTTGAGAAATTTTTCATCTATGTTCATCAAAGATATTGGCCTGTGATTTTGTTTTTTTATGATACCCTTGTCTGGCTGTGGTAAGACAGGGTAATGTTGGCCTCATAAATAAAGTTTGAAATAATTCCCTCTTCATCAATTTTTTGGAAGTTAAGAAGGATTGGTATTAATTCTTTAAATGTGTGGTGGAATTCGGCAATGAAGCCATCAGGCCTGAGGCTTTTCTTTGATAGGAGACTTCCTATTACTGATTAAATCTTCTTATTCATTATTATTCTGGTCATATTTTCCATGGGTTGCCTTTTAACCTTCTTAGATAGTGTATTGTGAAGTTTTGAAATTTGATGAAGTTCAATTTATCTATTTTCATGGTGTTGTGCTTTTGTGTCATATCTAACAAGGCTTTGCCTAAGCCACGGTCATGAAGTTTACTCCTATATGTTCTTCTAAGAGATTTAGAGTTTTAGCTTTTACACTTATGTATTTGACCCATTTTGATTAGTTTGTGTATATAATGTGAAGAAGAAATCCAGCTTTAATGTGAATATTCAGTTCTCCCAGCATCATTTGCTCAAAAGATGATTCTCTCTCTGAATTGTTTTATACCTGTTGAAAATCCATTGATCATAAATGTAAGGGTTTATTGTTGGGCCCTCAATATTATTCCATTGAGCTATATATTTATCCTTATGCCAGTAGTACCCTTCCCTGATTGCTGTAGCTTTGCGGTTAGTTTTGAAATTGAAAAGTGTGAGTTGTCCAAATTTGTTCTTCTTTTTCAAGAAGAATTATTTTTCAAGATTATTTTTACTATTCTCAGTCTCTTGAATTTGGAGACTGAGAATAGTAAAATTTTCAAATAAATTTTGGAATTAGCTTTACAACTGGGGTTTTGATAGAGATAGTGATAAATTTGTAGATCAATTTAGAGAGTATTGCCATTTTAACCATTTTCGTCTTCCAATCCTTGAACATGGAATGGCTTTCCAATTATTTAGGTCTTCTTTAATTTCTTTCAACACTGTTTTGTGGTTTTCAGACTATAAATTTTACAGTTCTTTAATTAAGTTTATTTCCAAGTATTTTATTATTTTTCATACTACTGGAAGTGAAATTGTTTTTCGTTTTTTTTTTGGATTATTTATTGCCAGTGTGTAGAAATACAGCTGAATTTTATAGACTGATCTTGTAACCTGTAACCTTGCTGAACTTCTTCAATAATTTTAGTAAATTTTAAGTGGAATCCTAGAAATTTATATAAGGTTATATAACTCTGCAATTATAGATTTACCATTTTCTTTTCGATTTGCCTACTTTTTACTTCATTTTCTTGTCTAATTGTCCTGCATAGCACCTCTAGTATGACATTGAAAAGATGTGGTAAGGAGAATATCTCTTTTTTTCCCTGATCTTAGGGAAAATCCTGTAAGTTTTCACCATTAAGTATGATGCTAGCCATAAGCTTTTCATAGATCCTTTTTCTTATCAAATTGAGGAAGTTCAACTTTATTCCTAGTTTTCTGAATGTTTTTCACTAATGAGTGTTGCTTTTGTGGCTTTTGTCCTTTATTATATTATTAAGGTGTATTGTAATAATGAATTTTTGAATGTAAAACTAACCTTACATTTTTGGGATAAATCCAACTCAGTAATGATATGTTTCCATATGTTGTGGGTTCTGTGTTTCTAGTATTTTGTTGCGGACTTTTGTATCTATATTTATAGGAGATGTTAGTATGTAGGTTTGTGTGTGTGTGTGCGCACGTGTGTGTGTGTGTTGCTCATAAGGTCTTCTTAATTAAGAACACTGTCCTCATAGAATAAGTTAGGATGCGTTACCTTTTTTAGGTTGTGAAGAAGTTTGTACACAGTGGTATTAATTCTTAAATGCATGGTAAAAATCACCAGTTAAACCATTTGAGTTCTGCTTTTCTTTATGGGAAGTATTTTAATTACAAATTCAATCTCTTTACTTCTTATAGATTAATCAAATTTTCTATTTCACCTTGAGTCAGTTTTAAAAATTTTTTATATATAATTTTTATTATACTTTATGTTCTAGGATACATGTGCAGAACATGCAGGTTTGTTACATAAGCATATGTGTACCATGGTGGTTTGCTGCACCCATCAACCCATCATCTACATTAGGTATTTCTTCTAATGCTGTCTCTCCTCTAGCCCCACACCCCCTGACAGGCCCCAGTATGTGATGTTCCCCACCCTGTGTCCATGTGTTCTCATTGTTCAAATCTCACTCATGAGAGAGAACATGCAGTGTTTGGTTTTCTGTTCCTGTGTGGGTTTGCTGAGAATGATGGTTTCCAGCTTCATCCATGTCCCTGTAAAGGACATGAACTCATCCTTTTTTATGGCTGCATTGTATTCCATGGTGTATATGTGCCACATTTTCTTTATCCAGTCTATCATTGATGGACATTTGGGTTGGTTCCAAGTCTTTGCTATTGTGAATAGTGCCGCAATAAACATACATGTGCATGTGTCTTCATAGTAGCATGATTTATAATCCTTTGAGTATATACCCAGTAGTGGGATTGTTGGGGCAAATGGTATTTCTGGTTCTAGATCCTTGAGGAATTGCCACACTGTCTTCCACAATGGTTGAACTAATTTACACTCCCACCAATAGTGTAAAAGCATTCCTATTCTCCACATCCTCTCCAGCATCTGTTGTTTCCTGACTTTTTAATGATCACCATTCTAACTGTTGTGAGATGGTATCTCATTGTGGTTTGATTTGCAATTCTCTAATGACCAGTGATGAGCTTTTTTTCATATGTTTGTGGGCTGCATAAATGTCTTCTTTTGAGAACTGTCTGTTCATATCCTTTGCCCACTTTTTGATGGGGTTGTTTGTTTTTTTCTTGTAAACTTGTTTAAATTCCTTATAGATTCTGGATATTAGCCCTTTGTCAGATGGATAGATTGAAACCATTCTGTAGGTTGCCTGTTCACTCTGATGATAGTTTCTTTTGCTGTGCAGAAGCTCTTTAGTTTAATTAGATCCCATTTGTCAATTTTGGCTTTTGTTGCCATTGCTTTTGGTGTTTCAGTCATGAGGTCTTTGTCTATAGAAATGAATAAGTAGAAGAAGGAAATGCAGAGCTCAAAGACGAGGTCTTCAAATTAACCCAATCCAACAAAGACAAAGAAAAAAGAATAAGAAAATATGAACAAAGCCTCCAAGAAGTCTGGGATTATGTTAAAAGACCAAACCTAAGAATAACCAGTGTTCATGAGAAAGAAAAGAATTCTAAAAGCTTGGAAAACATATTCAGGAGAATATTGGAGGAAATCTTTTCTGGCCTTGCTAGAGACCTAGACATCCAAATACAAGAAGCACAAAGAACACCTGGGAAATTCATTTCAAAAAGATTTTCACCTAGGCACATGGTCATCAGGTTATCCAAAGTTAAGGTGGAGGAAAGGCTTCTAAGAGCTGTGAGACAGAAGCACCAGGTAATCAACAAAGGAAAACCTATCAGATTAATAGCAGATTTATGAGCCAGAAACCCTACAAGCTAGAAGGGACTGGGGCTGTATCTTCAGCCTCCTCAAACAAAACAATTATCAGCCAAGAATTTTATATCCAGCAAATCTAAGCATTATATATGAAGGAAAGATACAGTCTTTTTCAGACAAACAAATGGTGAGAGAATTTGCCATTACCAACCCACCACTACTAAAAGGAGCTCTAAATCTTGAAATAATCCTAGAAACACATCAAAATAGAATCTCTTTAAAGCATAAATCACACAGGACCTGTAAAACAAAAATACAAGTTAAAAAGCAAAAACACAAAAACAGAAAAAGCACACAGGCAGCAAAGAGCACAATGAATGCAATGGTACCTCATATTGCAATACTAACATTTAATGTAAACAGCCTAAATCCTCCGCTTAAAAGATACAGAACCACAGAATGGATAAGAACTCACCAACCAACTATCTGCTGCCTTCGGGAAGCTCATCTAACACATAAGGACTCAGATAAACTTAAAGTAAAGGGGTAGAACAAGGCATTTCATGCAAATGGACACCAAAAGAGTATGCTTTTATTAGACAAAAAAAACTTTTAAAGCAACAGCAGTTAAAAGAGAGAATGAGGGACATTATATAATGGTAAAAGGCCTTGTCCAACAGGAAAATATCACAATCCTAAACATATATGCACCTAACACTGCACATCCCAAGTTTATAAAAGAATTACTAATAGACCTAAGAAATTAGATAGACAGCAACACAGTAATAGTTGGGGACTTCAATACTCCACTGACAGCACTAGACAGCTCATCAAGACAGAAAGTCAATAAAGAAACAATGGATTTAAACTATACCTTGGAACAAATGGACTTCACAGATGTATACAGAACATTTTTATCCAACAACTGCAGAATACATATTCTACTCAACAGTGCATAGAACTTTCTCCGAGATAGTCCATATGATAGACCATAAAACAAGCCTCAAGAAGCTTAAGAAAATTGAAATTGTATCAAGCACTCTTTCAGACTGCAGTGGAATAAAACTGGAGAAATTCACTCCAAAAGGAAACTTCAGAACCATGCAAACCAGAAATCTGCTATTAATCTGATTAATCTATTAAATAACCTGTTCCTGAATGAGCACTGGGCCAAAAACGAAATCAAGATGGAAATTTAAAAATTCTTTGAACTGAATGACAGTAGTGATATAACCTATCAAAACCCCCGGGATACAGCAAAGGTGATACTAAGACGGAAGTTCATAGCCCTAAGCACCTACATCTTGAAGACTGGAAAAGCAAAAACTGACATTCTAAGGTCACACCTCAAGGAACTAGAGAAACGAGAACAAAGCAAACCCAAACCCAGCAGCAGAAAGGGAATTACCAAGATCGGAGTAGAACTAAATGAAATTGAAACAAAAAAGACAATACAAAATATAAATGAAAAAAAAGCTGGTTATTTGAAAATACAAATAAAATTGATAGACTATTAGCAAGATTAATTAAGCAAAGAAGAGAGAAAATCCAAATAACCTCACTAAGAAGTGAAATGGGATATTACAACTGACATCACTGAAATACAAAAGATCATTCAAAGCTACTATGAGCACCTTTATGCACATAAACTACAAAACTTAGAAGAGATGGATAAATTCCTGGAAAAATATAACCTTCCTAGCTTAGATTAGGAAGAGTTAGATACTCCGAACAGACCAATAACAAGCAATGAGATTGAAATAATGGTATTTGAAAAATTACCAAAAAAAAAAAAAAGTCCAGGGCAGATGGATTCACAGCAGAATTTTACCAGACATTCAAAAAATTGGCACCATTCCTTTCGACACTATTCCATAAGATAGAGAAAGAAGGAACCCTCCCGAATATATTTTATGAAGCCAGCATCACTCTAATACCAAAACCAGGAAAGGACATAACCGAAAAAGAAAACTACAGACTGATATCTTTGATGACCATTGATGCTAAAATTCTTAACAAAATACTAACTAACTTAACAAAATACTAACTAACAACATATCAAAAAGATAATCCACCATGACAAAGTGGGTTTCATACCAGGGATTTAGGGATGGTTTAACATACACAAGTCAATAAATGTGATACACCACATAAACAGAATTAAAAACAAAGATCACATGATCATTTCAATAGATGCAGAAAAAGCATTTGACAAAATTCAGCCTCCCTTTATAATTAAATCTCTCAGCAAAATAGACATACAAGGGACATATCTTAATTAATAAAAGCCATCTATGACAAAAACCACAGCCAACATAATACCGAAAGAGGAAAAATTGAAAGCATTCCCTATGAGAACTGGAACAGGACAAGGATGCGCACTCTCAGCAACCCTCTTCAACATAGTACTGGAAGTTCTAGCCAGAGCAATCAGACAAGAGAAAGAAATAAAGGGCATCCAAATTGGTAAAGAGGAAGTCAAATTATCACTGTTTGCTGAAGATCTGACTGTTTACCTTGAAAACCCTAAGAACTTCTCCAGAAAGCTCCTAGAACTGAGAAAAAATTCAGCAAAGTTTATGGATATAAGATTAATGTACACAAATCAGTAGCTCTTCTATACATCAACAGCGAACAAGTGGAAAATCAAATCAAGAACTCAACCCCTTTAACAATAGCTGCAAAAAGAATGCTTAGGAATATACCTAACCAAGGAGTGAAAAGACCTCTACAAGGAAAACTATGAAACATTACTGAAAGAAATCATAGACAAGACAAAAAAATGAAAACACATCCCATGCGCATAGATGGGTAGAATCAATATTGTGAAAATGACCATATGGCCAAAAGCAATCTGTAAATTCAATGCAGTCCCCATCAAAATACCACTGTCTTTCTTCACAAAATTAGAAAAAAAATTCTAAAATTCATATGGAACCAAAAAAGAGCCCACATAGCAAAAGTAGGACTAAGCAAAAAAAAAAAAAAAAAAAAAAAAAAAAAAAAAAACAAATCTGGAGGCATCACGCTACCTGATTTCAAATTATACTTTAAGATCATAGTCACCAAAACAGTGTGGTACTGATACAAAAATGGGCACATAGGTCAGTGGAACAGGATAGAGAACACAAAAATAAACCCAAATACTTGCAGACAACTGATCTTTGACAAAGCAAACAAAAATATAAAGTGGGGAAAGGACACCGTTTTCAAAAAATGGTGCTGGGTTAATTGGCTAGCCACCTGTGGAAGAATGAAACCGGACCCTCTTCTCTCACCTTATACAAAAATCAACCCAAAGTGGATTAAGGACTTAAACTTAAGACCTGAAACTATAAAAATTCTAGAAGATAACATTGAAACAACCCTTCTAGACATTGGCTTAGACAAGGATTTCATGACCAAGAACCCAAAAGCAAATGCAACAAAAACAAAGATAGATAGCTGGGACCTAATTAAACTAAAGAGCTTTTGCACAGCAAAAGGAACAGTCAGCAGAGTAAACAGACAACCCACAGAGTAGGAGAAAATGTTTACAACTGTACAGCTGACAAAGGACTAATATCCAGTTTGTTGTAGAAGCAAACTCAAAACAAACCAGTAGGAAAAAAACAAAAATCCTCTTAGAAAGTAGGCTAATGAATAGACAGTTCTCAAAAGAAGATATATGAGTGGCCAATAAACATATGAAAAAATGCTCAACATCACTAAGGATCAGGGAAATGCAACTGAAAACCACAATGTGATACCACTTTACTCCTGCAAGAATGGTCGTAATGAAAAAAATAAAAAAACAGTAGATGCTGACATGGATGCGGTGAACAGGGATCACTTCTACACTGCTGGTGGGAATGTAAACTAGTACAGCCACTGTGGAAAACAGTTTGGAGATTCCTTAAAGAACCAAGAAAGTAGTACTACCATTTGATCCAGCAATCCCACTATTGGGTATCTACCCAGAGGAAAAGAAGTCATTGTTCAAAAAAGATACTTGCACATCCATGTTTTTAGTGGCACAATTCACAATAGCAAAATCATGGAACCAACCCAAATGCCCATCAATCAATGAATGAATACAGAAACTGTGATATATATATATGATGGAATACTATGCAGCCATAAAAAGAAATAAATTAACAGCATTTGCAATGGCCTGGATGAGAATGGAGACTATTATTCTAAGTGAAGTAACTCAGGAATGTATAACCAAACATCGTATGTTCTCACTGATACGTTGGAGCTAAGCTATGAGGACACAAAGGCATAAGAATGCTACAGTGAACTTTGGGGACTTGGGGGGAAGAGAGGTAGGGGGGCGATGGATAAAAGACTACAAATATGGTGTGGTGTATACTGCTTGGGGTGAATGATGCACCAAAAGCTCACAAATCACCCCTAAAGAACTTACTCATGTAACCAAATGTCACCTGTACTCCAATAACTTATAGAAAAATAAATAAATAAAAATAAATTTAAAAACAGCTGTAAAATAAAAAAAAATTATCGAGGCGTGTTTTTATGGTCCAGCATATTGTTTATCCTAAAGAATATTCCTTGTGTGCTTCAGAAGAACATGTACTCTGCTATTGTTAATGGACTGTGCTATAGATGTGGGTAGGTCTAGTTGGTATATAGTGTTGTTCAAGCCTTTCTTATTGATATTTTTCCAGTTGTTCCATACCTTATTGAACTTGGGGGTAATGTATTCTCCAAATCTTATTGTTGAATTGTTTTTCTGCTATGTCAGTTTTTACTTCATATAGTTTTGGGACTATGTTGAATCTGCATTTATCTTAGCTGGATTTCATTTCACTTTTGAATATGTAGATTTATGTTTTTAATAAAATTTGGGGAGTGGGCTGAGAGGAACCTGCCAGCCAGGATAGGAGGCAGTCACTGATTTGGATGGTCTCCAGATGGGTATTTGCAATCTATTCTTGAGCAGGGAGGAGACTCCACACCCAGACTTGAGAGGTGAGTGTGGTGTGTGCTCCAGCTGTAATCGTGGTTGTTGGGTGCCTCGCTTTCACAGGACTGGACTGGGAGGCATTTGGCCTGGGAGCTATGGTTTCATCCTGGGCAGGGAGTTTAATGGCATTAGCAGTCTTATGATATGAAGACAAATTGCTTGTGACTTGCCTGGCTGTCTCAGCTTGCTACCAGTAACAGGCCACAGGAGGGAGCCCACCAAGTTGAGAGCATGGAATGGAGGCGGTTCCCACTACTGCATGCTAGCATTTGGAGCCCAAGCTGCCCCTCCTTCCCTATATTAACTCATAGAACGTCATCAATTGCTCCATTTCTTCCTGGAGAGTTCTCCAGGGGCTTAAGAACTGCCTTCTAACCCCCATCAGGACCAGCACTTGCACCTGCCATTGCATGACCCAAGTGCAGACTTGCTTGTCCTAGTCCTGCCAAGCTTTGCAACCCCACCCCCATCTTGGAAGCAGAGCACAGGACTGGAAACATTGGAAGTTCCAAGGCCCAGCCCATCACCTGTGACACCCAAGTATATCTCCTGGTTATCAAAGATCAAGCATAAACTCGACTGCTACCACTGCAGCTGGCTTTCACTGACAAGTGCCACCTACTGGCTGGCAGTTCAACATGCAGTCCATTACAACATCTGCTGACACAAGTGCATAGTGCTCATAGTGTCCCATAAAACAATTACACAAAGGAGAAAAGAGAAAGAAACAACATGGCAACACACTTGAACACCAAACCACAAAGACAAAAAGAAAAAAAAAAGAAACAATCTACAAAGCAACTAAATAACAGTTAAGATTATGACAGGAAAAAAAACTTCACATATCAATGTCAACCTTGTATATAAATAGGTTAGATGCTCCATCTAGAAGATATAGATTGTAGAAATAGATAAAGAAACAGGAACCAACTATATACTGCTTATAAGAAACTTGCCTTACTTTTAAAAACACTTACAGATGGAATGTAAGGAGGTGGAAAAAGATATTTCATGAAAATGGAAAGCAAAAGTGAGCAGTAGTGGCTATACTTATGTAGATAAAGCAGACCTCAAATAAACAATAGTTTAAAAAAAGACAAAGAAGGTCATTATATATTAATAAAAACATCAATTCACCAAGAAGATACAATCATCCTAAATACATATGCACCAGCACTGGAGCACCCAGATTCATAAAACAATTACTAGACCTAAAGAAGAGATAAACAGCAATGCAATAATAGTGGATGACTTCAATGCCCCACTGACAGCATAAGACAAATCATCAAGACAGAAAATCAACAAAAGGAACACTGGACCTAAATTGGACTTTAGAACAAATGGACCTAACATATATTTGTAGAATATACAATTGTAGAATATACATTCTTCTCATCTGCACATGAAACATTCTCCAAGATAGACCATATGTTAGGCCAGAAAACAAGTCTCAAAAAATTTAAAAATTTAAAATCATGCCAAGTATCTTTTTGGACCATAGTGGAATAAAAATAGAAATCAATGTCTACAGAGACTCTGAAAATGATACAAATATATGGAAATTAAACAACATAAACTTGAACCATCTTTGAGTCAATGGCTAAATTAATATGAAAAATTTAAAATATTTTTAAATGATTGAAAATCAAGATATAACATACCAGAACTTTTGGGATACAGCAAAAGCAGTGCTAAGATGGAATTTTATAGCATTAAATGCCTACATCAAAATAATAAAAACATCACAAGTTAACAACCAAAAATTTCACCTCAAATAACTAGAAGAACAAGAAAAAAATTAAGCCAAAAGCTAGCAGAAGAAAAGAAACAACAAAGATTAGAGCAGAACTAAGTGAAATTGAGAACAAGAGAACAATACAAAAGATCCATGAAATGAAAAGTTGTTTCTTTGAAAAGATAAATAAGGTTGATAGACCACTAGCAAGATGAACCAGGAAAAGAGAAGATCCAAAATACACGTATTCAGAAATGAAAAAAGGAGACATTACAACTGATACCACAGAAATAAAAAACAATCATTAGAGACATATGAAAAACCATACATGCACAAACTTGAAATCTGAGGAAATGGATAAATTCCTGGGAACATACATCCTCCGAAGATTGAATGATAAAGAAACAGAAATCCTGAACAGACTAATAAAAGTAGTGAAATTGAATCAGTAATTAAAAAAATCTCCCTCCTCAAAAAAGCACAGGAGCAGATGGATTCACAGCCAAATTCTATAAAACATTCAAAGAAGAGATGGTACCCATCCTCCTAAAACTCTTCCAAATAATCAAGGAGGAGGTATTCCTCCCTAACTCATTCTATGAAGCCAGTATTACCCTGATACCAAAGCCAGGCAAGAACACAACAGAAAAGACTACAGACCAATATTCCTGATGAACATAGATGCAAAAATCCTAGCAAACCTAATACTAACAAACCAAGTGCAACAACATATCAAAAAGATAATTCATCATGACCAAGTGGATTTTATTCCAGAGATGCAAGGATGGTTTAACATATGCATATCAATAAATGTGATTTGCCACATAAACAGAAAACAAAAATCATATGATCATCTCAATAGATGCAAAAGAAGCATTTGATAAGATTCAGAATCCTCTTATGATATAAACCCTCAACAAACTAGGCATAGAAGAAACATACTTCAAAATAAAAACATTCATATAAGACAAACCCTCAGCAAACATCATATTGAATGGGGAAAAATTGAAAGTATTTCCCTTAAGAACTAGAGCAAGACAGGAATGCTCATATTCACCACCCCTATTCAACATAGCACCAGAAGTACTATGATTGCCAGAGCAATCAGGCAAGAATAATTCAAGGATAATTATATGAATGTTCAAAATAATAACATTCATATAAGACAAACCCTCAGCAAACATCATATTGAATGGGGAAAAATTGAAAGCATTTCCCTTAAGAACTAGAGCAATACAGGGATGCTCATATTCACTACTCCTATTCAACATAGTACTGGAAGAACCTGATTGCCAGAGCAATCAGGCAAGAAAAAAACAAAGTACCAAATTGAAAAAGAGTAAGTCAAATTATCTGTTTGCTGATGATATAATCTTACATATGGAAAACGTTAAAGTGTCCTCCAGAAGACTCCTAGATTTGATAAATCGGTTCAGTAAAGTTTCAGGATACAAAATCAATGTACAAAAATCAGTGGAACTTCTACACACTAGTAACAATCAAACTGAGAACAAAATCAAGAAGCCAATCCCATTCGCAATCACTACAAAAATAAAATACTTAGGAATATATTTAACCCAGAAGATGAAAGATCTCTACAAGGAAAACAACAAACATTGAGGAAGGAAATCATAGATGACACAAGCAAATGTAAAAACATCCCATGTTCATGCATCAAAAGAATCAATATCATTAAAATGACCATACTTCCCAAAGCAATCTACAGAATCAATGTAATTTCTATAAAAATATCAATATCATTTTTCTCACAATTAGAAAAAAGAATCCTAAAATTCATATGGAACCAAAAAGGACCCTAAATAGCAAAGCATACCTAAGCAAAAAGAACAAAGCTAGAAGCATTACATTACATGACTTCAAATTACCTCAAGGCTATAGTAACCAAAATAGTGTAGTTCTGGTATAAAAATAGACAAATAGATGTATGGAACAGAATGGAAAACCCAGAAACAAAGCCACATACCTAAAGCCAACTAATCTTTGATAAAGTCAACAAAAACATACATTGGGGAAAAGACATCTTATTCAATAAATAGTGCTGGAAAAAATGGTTTGCCATATGAAGAAGAATGAAACTGGATTTTAACTCTCACCATACATAAAATTAATTCAAAATGAATTAATGACTTAAATACAAAACCTAAAACTATAAAAAAAAGAATACCTCAGAAAAACTCTTCTGAACATATGTTTAGGCAAAAAAATTCATGACTAACACCTCAAAAATAAAGTTAACAAAAACAAAAATAGACAAATGAGATTTAATTAAATTAAAAAGCTTCTGCATAGCCAAAGAAATAACAGAGTGAACAGACAACCTACAGAATAAGAGAAAATTTTTGCAAAACTTGCATTCAACAAGGGAATAATATCCAGAATCTATAAGAAATCCAAACAGTTAACAACAATTTTAAAAATCAAATAACCTCATTAAAAAGTGGGCAAATTATATGAACAAACATTTCTGAAAAGACATAGAAATTATCAATAAGCATATGAAAAAAACTCAACATCACTAATCAGAAAAATAAAAACTCAAACCACAATGAGATACGATCTTATACCAGTCAGAATGGATATTATTAAAAAGTCAAAATACAACAGAGGTTGTGAGGCTGCAGAGACAAGAGAATACTTCTACATTGTTGGTGGGAATGTTAATTAGTACAATCTCTACGCAAATACCTAGATTAGGTAATTAGTACAATCAAAAACTATATGTTGTCAATTATAAGTGGGAGCTAAATAATGTATACAAATGAACATAGAATGCGGAATAATGGGCACTGGAGGCCTGGAAGGTTGGGACAGCGGGAGAAGGGTAAAGGATGAGAAATTATTTATGTACATTATTTGGACGATGATTATACTAAAAGGCTATATTTTGCCACTACACAATATATCTATGTTACAAAACTGCATTTGAATGTCCTACATTCATACAAATTAAAAAATAAGTTAAAAAATAAAATAAAATATATTTTAGCCATTATTTCTTTGGATATTTTTCTGCTTTTTTTTAAAATTTGATACTCTTTGCCAGGGTAGTCTATGAGACTCATTTTTGGTTTTCATTCCAACCCAAGAGGACCCTCTTACTACCCGTCTCTGTCTCTAGCTCTCTTTGTTAGATTTCTATATTTTCTATATTGGAAATGGTGTAGCTCACCACACTCATGGAGCTCCCATTATCCTCTTATTTGTTTTCAAGATTGTCCCTAAGCTTGAACTTTCCCCGTACTCTTTTCCAAATAAAGTCAGGTCTTTTGGGGAGTGTTTCAGAGCTCTCTCTTCTTATTGTCTTCTCTGCCCCTGAACAAAATCTGTGCACGACTGCTCTAAAGCTGAGTGTAGGGATATTGTTTCACTTGTCTTTGAGTGACACACTGTTTTACAAGCAGGAAACTGGTTGGAACTGCATACCTTTGTTCTTCTTAGTTTATTCCTCCCAGCATGGAAGGGACAAGCTCACTTAGACTTATAAGTGAGCTGGGATGAAGGTTAACAAGGTCTCAGCATTCTACAACTCCTGTGCCTGGGGTTTAGCTTCTGTCCTAGAATGGGGGCTAGGTCAGTTATTCTTGCCTTGGAATAGGGCTACTGTAACAGAGAGCTGGGTGGCATGAGAAACGCGGATAGCCTGCCTCTCCTGGGAGATATTCTAGATTTTAACTGACCTTAATTCTCCTGAAAGATATTGCAGCTGGAGAAAGAGGGAGTCTATGTTCTTGGTTGCTCCCGACTAGATTGAAGTTTCTACTATGCTAAGATGGAAGGGAAAGGAAAGAAATGGGTCATGGTTCAAATGCCACAAATGCTCCTTGTTCTTATTGTGTGATTATTTAGATTGTCTTGAATAAATGTTTCTTTATTTGCTGTATGCTTTTAGGACAATTTGCAGTTTTTAAACATATGCAGACACACACACAAACACATACACACACTTTTCTTTCTTTAAAAGGTATGCTTTCTTCACTGGAGACAGGATCTGTGGAGTTTCTTACACCAACATTTGGAAGATAGGCTTAGGTTTGGCAGGGAGGGGTTTGCCTCCTTGCAAAGGATAACTTCTAGACAGCAGTTCTTAAAGTGATCTGTGGACACACAGTAGTCCCTGTGACCTTTTCAAGTTTACCACAGGCTAAAATAATAAAATTGATAATAACCATTATGATAATAATGTGTTATGTTACTTTTTTCACTGTGTTGATGTTTGCAACCACAGTGGAACAGCAATGGGGGGAAAACTATGGTGTCCTGGCATGGATCAAAGTAGTGAAACTGAACTCAACTAATAGTCACTGTTCATCACCACCACTCAGTCACAGGAAAAAAATACAAGTTTTAATTAAGAATATCTTTCATGAAGCAATAAATATTATTAATTTTACTAAATCTCTAGCATTGACCATGTCATCACTTTTGTTACATACCAAAATATGACAGTTGTTCTGAGAGAAAGCATGTGTGCCATTGTTTAAATTGCAAGCTAGAATAAGTCTTTCATGAAATAAAAGTTTTTTTTAACTTGGAAAAATTAGGGACAAAGTTCGTTTATTCACATTTGATGTTTTGATGCATTTTTTGTCAAAAATGATGAAATGGGCTTGTCACTTCAAGGCCATTAAATGTCAATATTTTCTCAACAATAAAATGTGAGATATCAACATAAAATTAAAATTAGAATGTCTATCACTTTGTTATTCTAATACTTAAAGTCTTTTATCACACAATTGGTGGTGATATTAATTAATACGCTTGTTAAAAATTTAGACTAATAAAAGAGTCAACATTTTGTAGGTATGCATAGCTTAGTAAACCAATATTTTCCAAATGACCAATGCTTATAAAGTTATGACTGGGTAAAGAACTATTCAAAGTCCAAGACAGGCATATAAATTTTAGTGTAACAGAGTTTATAAAGTTCATTGACATGGTTTCCTATTCTACGTTGCAACTACCTTTTGAGAAACTATGACATGATGAGTATTGATGTAGCATTTAAAAATAATATTCACAATCATCTGAAACGCCTATTAAAATGTTCTTATCTTTTCCTACTACATACCTGTATAAGACTATCTTGTCTACATATATTTAAACCAAAACAATGTATACCTTGAATGCAGAAGTATATATGAGAATCCATTCATCTTCTAGTACTTGACATTAAATAAATCTACAAAAATGTAAAATACTTGCTTCTCATTTTGTTTTGAAAAAATATATTTTCATAAATACATATTAATTATATCTCACATAATGAATTAACTTTGGTTTTTGGAAAAGGAATTAATGTTTTAGAACTTTCGCTGCTTTAATTTTGAATACAGTAAATATTGATATTATATATGTCAATATTATACCACTCATATAAACAGTAGCTCTTTGGGTCCTCAAAAACTTTTTAAGAGTGTAAGGGGAGAGAGCTAGGGCAGGGGTTGGCAAATTTTGGCCAGCCTGCAGGCTAAATTCTGCCCTCTGCCTGTAGCATGTTTTTGTATGCCCCCAGAACTAAGTATGGCTTTCCCATTTTAAAGGGTTAAAAATAAGACAAAACAAACAAGATAGCAAAAACAAAACAAAACAAAACAAAAAACCAGAAAAATATATGACAGAGACCGTGTGTGGCCTGCAAAGTCTAAAAATACTTTAGAGAAAAATTTGTCAATCCCTTTTCTAGGTCTTCAAATTTTTTTTACATCATTTTCCAACAGTGTTTCAAATTATTCAGATATCAAATAAAACATTTTCATTCTCTTTAGAGGAAACTTCTGACAGCTAAATGGTTTTTTTTTTTTTGCAATTTATTAGTAATTTTCACAAAAATCAAGTTTTCTAGATGAGGATAGTTCCAGTCTTCAGAGTTTCTATTTTTTTTTAATTGGGTTTTTTTTTTTTCGACATTCTATTCACTGGGAAGGAGAGAGGCACCACTAGAATTCCAAATGGAATACATTTGGGATTCTAGATGTTCTACAATTAGCAGAACCATCTCA
This sequence comes from Homo sapiens, assembly GCF_000001405.40. Classification (NCBI taxonomy): domain Eukaryota; kingdom Metazoa; phylum Chordata; class Mammalia; order Primates; family Hominidae; genus Homo; species Homo sapiens. Next base: position 87,764,318 of record NC_000003.12, on the reverse strand, counting down.
CACCAGAAAAAATGTTCCCATGCCTTATAACTTTTTAATCTCTCTCATCAGACACTTATTTAGATTTGGGCACATTTTATTTCAGTGAGCCTATAGACTAAATCCAGAGTACTTATTAAACAAATCTTTGTACACAGGTTTAATGTACACTTAATTGTTAAGGAATACAATATTATTAATATATGGATACCATTCACTCATTTATTTATTTATTCAGTCATTCAACAAATATTTAGCAACTATGTGTTAGTAGTTGTCTGATGTTATGGGAATACATACGTTAACAAAAATGAAAAAGAAAAAATATTATTGCTTTCACAGAGGGAATGTATTGTCAAGATCAAGATAGTTTAAATTATGCTGTGGTGACAAGCAACCCTCTAAGCTCAGTGGCTTAACACAACAAAAGTTCATTTCTCACTCACGGACACACTGCAAGTCCATCATGGTTTCTAGAGGTGATGATATTCGTGAGTCACTCAGGAATCCAGGTTGATGGAAACTCCTTTATTCAGTAATTGTGCCTTTCAGAACATGTAGCCTCCTCCTTGAATACTTCAGCATAGGAAGAGACCCTACTTTTACTGTTTAGCCTGGACATGGTGCATGTCATTTGGACCAGAAGAACTAGTCACATGAATATAGGCCATATAAACAACTGGCCTTGCCTAACTTCAAATGATCTGCAAAATAAGGGGGGCACATTAATGTTTGCTGAGCAATAGTATCTCTGGCACAGGAAACAAAAAATAAATCACATTTTTAAAAAACCTATACAGCATACTATAGAAAAAAAAGGTCAGAGGAGAGTAGACAGTACAGACTATGATGGGAAAAGCTGGAATTTTAAATAGACAGTAGGATAAGGCCTCACTCAAAAGGCAACATAAGCAAAGTTTTAAATAAAGTAAGGGAATAATCCACGTGTCTATCTGGGAAAAAAGCATTCCAATCAAGTGGACAGCAAGTGCAAAGATGATGGACTAGAAGAGTCCTGGTATGTTAGAGGAATAGCAATGAGGACAGTCTTGCTGAAGAGAACTGAAAGGAGGAAAGCTTAGGTGAGATGAGGTCAGAGAGGTAAAGTCTGGGGATGTAGTGATTAACTTTAGTGTGTCAGGCCATTTTAGGACTTTGGCTTTTATTCTAATCTGGGAATACACTGAATGTTGTTAGGTAGATGAATGTCATATTTTAACAGGATCACAGCTACTGTGTTGAGAACAGACTCTGGAGAGACAAGGGTAGAGCAGTGAGATCAAGTAGGAGATCATGGCATAATCTATGCGAACATTGTTGGTATCTTTTATTAATGTGCAATAGGTGGTGAGAAGTAACTGAATTCTGAATATGTTTTGAAAATAGAGTTTAGATTTGCTAAAGGTAGGATATGAGAGAAAGGAATAAGTCAAGACTGAATGGAAGGTTTTAGCATGAACAACTAGAAGAAGATTTCAGGTCTGGATAGAATAAATTTGAGATACTTATTGAATATTTAACTGATAATGTTTAGTAGGCGTTAGCTCTCAGATTCTGAAGTTCAGGGAAAAAGTGCAGAATGGGGATAATGTTCTGAGCAACAGGCAAATAGATGGTGTTAAAGCCGTGATACTGGAAAGAAGATGCCCAAGAATCAACACATGGGGCAGATACTATAGTAATATGAAACAATGGGAGGGAGGAAATCTAGATAAGGAAATGAGAACAATTTTTGTAAAAGAATAAAGAGGAGCACTTCTCATTTCTTTGCATAGAAAGTTTCTAGTACTGGCTGGGGGCAGTGGCTCACACCTGTAATCCCAGCACTTTGGGAGACTGAGGTGGGCGGATCACCTGAGGTCAGGAGCTGGAGACCAGCCTGGCCAACATGACAAAACCCCGTCTCTACTAAAAACACAAAAAATTAGCCATGTGTGGTGGCGCACGCCTGTAGTCCCAGCTACCTGGGGGGCTGAGGCAGGAGAATCGCTTGAACTTGGGAGGCAGAGGTTGCAGTGAGCCGAGATAGCGCCACTGTACTCCAGCCTGGAGGACAAGAGCGAAACTCCCTCTCAAAAAAAAAAAAAAAAAAATTCTAGCGCGGATATGGGAGGGGGGCAGGGAAGTGCTGGGTAGAGAATGGCAGGGTCCCTGGCGAGGGCTCCACTCTCGAGCTTGTGCCCACGGATCTAAGTGAGAACAGGACTTCTGTTTTCACAACCAAATGTTGCATTTTCCGAGAGCATTCTGGCCCACCACACCCCCTATCCTATGGCCATATACACCCGAGAGACCGTAGCGGGTACACACACAAGCACTAGACGTCAAGAGGCGCAAAGGAGCAGAACACCACACCGACAGACACCACAGACGCCCGCAGCCCATCGACTGTGGGACAACATGGAATTCGGCCAGGGATAGTCAAAAGAGAGTCTGGCCGCTGAGTGGCCCAGCTCCACCCTCAAGACCACCTGCCCACTCCATCCCCCTTCTGGCTCCCCATCTCCCTCGCTGAGAGCAACTTCCACCACTCGATAAAACCTTTCACCCATCCTCCAAGCCCACGTGTGATCCGACTTTTCCAGTACCCTAGGGCAAGAACCCAGGATACAGAAAGCCCTCTGTCTTTGCCATAAGGTGGAGGGTCTAACTGAGCTGATCAACGCAAGCCGCCTGCAGACAGCAAAACTGAAAGAGCACACTGTAACACAGGCCCAGTGGGGCTTCGAGAGCTGTAAACATTTGCCTCTAGACACTGCCATGGGGTCGGAGCCCCCAAACGCTCCCCACAACCCACCCATCTGCATTCTCCCCCCTAGATGTGAACCACACCGCGCGCCCGCGAGGGAGATAAGGGAACTCCTCCTGTTTCAGCGCCATATTACTTCTATCTGAATAACTTTGTTTCACATTTTTTGTGACATACTTCTGCTGGCAATGAATTATGTGTTTTTGTTCATGTGTAAAATATCTTTCTTCTCCATTTTTATGAAAGCATTCTTGCTGGGTTTAGATTATGAGTTGAGAGATTTCTCCTTTTTTTTAGACACAGGGTCTTGCTGTGTCACCCAGGCTGGAGTGCAGCGGTGCAATCATAGCTCACTGTAACCTCAAATTTCTGGTCTCAAACAATCTTCCCGCCTCAGCCTCTGGAGTGGCCAGGACTACAGGCCTGTGCCATCACACCCAGGTAATTTAAAAAAAAAATTATAGGGTGTTGCTATGTTGCCCAGGCTGGTCTTGGCCTCCAGCAATCCTCCTCCCTTGATCTCTCAAAGAACTGGGATGCTGAGATTTTAGGTGTGAGCCATCATGCCTAGCCAAGAAGTTTCTTTGTTTAAAAACTATTTTTTTTTCCAGCAGTTTCTTATTCATAGCAATATTAAGAGGAAGTTTCTGAGATTTCCATTTATCTCCTGCTCCCATGCAGTTAACATAATTTACACTAGGGTTCATTCCATAGTTTATGCAAGAGTTCATTCATGGTGTTGCATGTTCTAAGGATTTGGAAAAGTGTATAATGACATATGTCTGTTATTATACTATCATACAGTGAAGTTTCACTGCCCTAAAAATCCTTTGTGTTCTACCAATTTATCATCCCTCTCCTTCCTTCTAACTCCTGGACATCTCTGATCTTTTTACTGACTCTGTTGTTTTGCCTTTTCCAGAATGTCATATAGTTGGAATCATACTGTATGTAGACTTTTCAGATTAGCTTTTTTCACTTAGTAATATGCATTTAAGTTTCCTTTGTATCTTTTCATGGCTTCATAGCTGATTTCTTCTTAGTCCTGAGTAATATTCTATTGTCTGTATGTACCACAGTTTATTTATCCATTCACCTACTGAAGGACCGCTTGTTTGCTTCCAAGTTACGGAATTATGAGAAAAGCTGCTATAAACATCTATGTGAAGGTTTTTGCATACACATAAGTTTTTAACTCCTTTGGGCAAATATTAAAGAGAACAATTGCTGGATCTTATGGGAAGAGTATGTTTAGTTTTATAAGAAACTACTATACTGTCTTCCAAAGTAGCTGTCCTACCAGTAATGAATGAGAATTTCTGTTGCTCCACATCCTCAACAGATTTGTTTTTAGTGTTCTGGATTTGGCCATGCTAATACATGTGTGGTGGTATCTCATTGTTGTTTTAATTTGCATTTTCCTGATAACGTAAGATGTGAAACATCTTTACACGTGCTTATTTGCCATCTGTGTATCTTCTTTGGTGCAGTGTCTGTTAAGGTCTTTGGCCCATTTTTCAATTGTGTTTTTGTTTTCCTTACTGTTGAGTTTTAAGAGTTCTTTGTATATTTTGGATAATATTTATCAGTTGTGTCTTTTGCAAATATTTTCTCCCAGTTTATGGCTTGTCTTCTCATTCTTTTGACATTATCTTTTCACACAGCAGATATTTTTAATTTTGGTGAAATCCAGCTTAGAAATTCTTTCTTTCATGAATCATGCCTTTAGGGTCATGTAAAAAGTCACCGCCATTCCCAAAGTCATCTAGATTTTCTCCTATTCTATCATCTAGGAAGTTTATAGTTTTGTGTTTTTCATATAGGTCTGTGATACATTTGAATTAATTTTTGTAAATGGTGTAAGGTTGGTATCTAGATTTATTTATTTATTTTTGCATGTGGATATCCAATTGTTCCAGTATCATTTGTTGAAAAGGCTATCTTTGCTCTATTATATTGCTTTCTTCTTTCATCAAAGATCAGTTGACTGTATGTGGGTCTCTATTTCAGGAATCTCATTCTGTTCCATTGATCTATTGTTCTATTCTTTTGCCAATGCTATAGTATATTGATTAGATAGCTTTACAGTAAGTCTTGAAGTTGAGTAATATTAGTCCTCCCACTTTGTTCTTCTCTTTCAATATTGTGTTGGCTGTTATGGGTCTTTTCCCTCTTTATATAAGCTTTAGAATCAGTTTGTTGATATCCACAGAATAATTTGATGGGATTTTGATTGGAATTTCATTGAATCTATAGATCAAGTTGGGGAGAATTGAAATCATGACAACATGGAGTCTTCCTATCCACAAACATAAAATATCTCTCTATTTATTTAGTTCTTCTTTGATTTCTTTTATCAGAGTTTTGTGGTTTTTCTCATATAAGTCTTGTAATATTTTGTTAGACATGTTTGTTAGTATTTTAGTTTTGGGGTGCTAATATTAATGGTATTTTATTAATTGTTGTTATATAGGAAAGCAATTGACTTTTGTATGTTAACCTTGTGTCTTGCCACCTTACTATAATTGCTTAGTTGTTCCAGGAGCATTTTGTCAATTCTTTCAGAGTTGATACATAAAAAATAATGTCACCTGTGGAATAAAGGTGGTTTTATTTCTTTCCTTTTAAACAATATACTTTTTATTTCCTTTTATTGTTTTATTTCATTATCTAGAACTTCCAGTACAATGTTGAAAAGGAGTAGTGAGAGGGGATGTCTTGCCTTGTGTTTGATATTGGTAAAAAAGCTTCTAGTTTCTCACCATTATGTAAGATGTTAGCTGTAAGTTTTTTATATATATTCTTTATCAAATGGAGGAAGTTTTTCGCTCCTGTTCCTAGTTTACTCAGAGTTTTTATCATGAATTACTGTTAGATTTTTTCAAATGTTTTTTCTGAATCTATTGATATGATCACATGATTTTTCTTCTTTAGTCTGTTAATATTATAGAATACATTAATTGACTTTCAAATACTGAACCAGCCATGCATACCTGAGATAAATCCCATTTGTTATGGTGTGTAATTCTTTTTATTCATTGTTGGATTTGATTTGCTAATATTTTGTTGAGCATTTTTGCATATGTGTTTATGAGAGGTATTGGTCTGTAGTTTTATTTTTGTACAATATCTGTCTGGTTGTGGTGTTAGGCTGATGCTGGCTTCAAAGTATAAGTTAGGACTTTCATCCTCTGAAAGAGATTATGAAGAATTGGTATAATTTATTCCTTAAATTTTTTATGTAATTTATCAGCAGACCCATCTGGGACTGATATTTTCTATTTGGAAGGTTATTAATCATTGATTTGATTTCTTTGATAGTTATAGGCTTATTCAAATTGTCTATTTTTTCTTGTGTAAGTTTTGGCAGATTGTGTCTATTAAGCAATCGGTCCCTGTCATCTAGATTATTAGTGGTTCATAATATTCATTTACTGCCTTTCAATGTCCGTTGGATCTGTGGTTACCTCCCCTCTTTCATATCTGATGTTAGTAATTACTGACCTCTTTTTTCTTTGTTAGCCTGGCTAGAGAATTATCAAACTTATTTATCTTTTCAAAGAATCAGCTTTTGTTTTTATTTATTTTCTCCATTGATTACCTTCTTTGAATTGCATTGATTTCTGCTCTAATTTCTATTTATTTCTTTTTGTGCCTTACTTTGGATTTAATTAAACTTGGTATCAAGGCCTAGTTAGGAGTTTAGCTTGATTTGAGTTTTTTTGTTGCTATAGTTATCCTGCTTTATATCTTGCTGTAGTTATCTTTCGTTTATCCTAGAATTCAACTTCCCCTATCATTCTTCTTTCCGTAGATTATAGTTTCCTAGAAAGTTTTCTCTTTTTTATTCTCTAGCATTAGACTATTTTTATTTTTATTTATTACTCAACTTTTACTGGAGTGTGTGGGAAGCATTTTATGTTTTTTGATTGAGACTAATTATTAGGCAGGTGGTATGTCCCTGGATCTCAGAGGTGAGACCTCCTAAATTCTTTTTTCTTAATTTATTTTTATTTTTATTTTTTATTGGAGACAGAGTCTTGCTCTGTCACTCAGGCTGGAGTGCAGTGTTGCAATCTCAGCTCACTGCAATCACTGCCTCCTGGGTTCAAGCATTTCTTGTGCCTCAGCTTCCCAAGTAGCTGGGCTTATAGGCATGCAGCACCATGCCTGACTAATTTTTGTATTTTTAGTAGAGATGGGATTTCACCATGTTGGCTAGGCTGGTCTCGAACCACTGGCCTCAAGTGAACTGCCAAAGTGCTGGGATTACAGGCGTGAGCCACTGTGCCCAGTTGCTTCTAAACTATTCTGTCATTTCCTCAGCTGTAGGAGAATTCTAATAGTCTGGGCCCAGAATGTATGTCTTCTCCATTCCAGGAGTAATATTAATTTTCCTGTTTCATCCCCTTATTTGCAATTATACATTCATCCTTTTATGTTTCTTTCATAGGAGAAATTAGGTAGGATGATCTGTGTGAAGTTTTGTGCCTTTCTTAAATTAGCTGCTCTTCCTTTCCCCAGGCTTGTACCACTAGGAAGATTTTCTTAGGGCTTTCCTTCTCCAGTCTTTTTCATCTGCATGTGGTAAGGTGTGTAGAAAAGAGACAAAGTGAGTATAAATTTCCTGGTATCTGTGGCTCCTAAGGGTTCTGTTCTCTTATGCTACCCCACAATCTGCTTTCAGATATTCCTTGACATTTTTGACTAAATTCTTATTTGCTTATTAGGGTTTGGTGTCTGGCATCTGCTCCAGATAAACAAGTACTTGGGTCCTGTTTGTCCTTGGCTCTATTTGTGTTTGCATAGACCAGATTCTGAGATTTTGTTTGCTCTGTGACATCAGCTATCCATTGTATCCCAGTAAAGTTATAATTTTAAAGATTGTCTGAGCTTTTTGTTGTTGTTGTAAGAGTGAGCATAATACTCTTTTCAGCATTCTATACCATAAATCGAAGATCTCAATTAATATAAAATGTTTAAATGTCTTCGGATCCCACAGAATTCTATTAGAAATCAATAATACTTGAGTCTTGTAATTGATAATTGACAGTAAAAATAATTAAATTATAACATCAAAATTTTTTCCACATCAAAAATTGTGTGGTGTATCTAATGCTTTTTTTTGGAGCAAAATCCTGTAAGTTTAAATGTTTATATAAAAAATAAAAAAGATCAAATATCAATAATCTGAGGTTTTATATCAGGCAGCTAAATCCAAAGAAAGTAGAAGGAAGGAAATATGTAAGGTAAGAAGAGAAGAAAGAAAAATAAGTAAGAAAGAAAAAAAGGCAAACAATGGAGGAAAGTAAGAATATATTTAAAACTTATTAAACCTCTAGCTAAACTGATCAAAGAAATAAAAAGAGATAACACAAATCACAAATATCAGGAATGAAATAGGAATTATCACCACATATTCTAGAATATTAAAAGGATACTAAGACAATGTTTGAAATTCCATTATATACTTAGAGCATACTGCATCATAAGCAAGTGGTGTTTATTGCAACAATGCAAGGTTGGTTTGACATGCTGATATGAAATAATGTCATCCATCATAGTAACAGGTTATAGGAGAAAATCATATGATCATTTCAGTAAATGCAGAAAAGCTTTTGATAAAAATAAATCTTCATTTGTGACTGAAAGTCCCAGTAAACTAAGTTGAGATCCCTTTTATTAGGTTCAGGAAGTTCTTTCTATTCCTAGTTTGCTTATTTGGTGTAATTTCACAATGGCTGCCTTGGTTCTACTGTCTCCTAATCTGTTAACTCCCAGAGAAACCTGTGGGACTCACTGGATATGAGCACATATGGGGTGGTGAGGGCTACTCACAAACCGTCTCTTCTATAGATGTTGCTTTACAGGATTTTAAACAAATTAAAGATAATAATACATGTCCATTCTATAAGTTTCAAGAAACATAGGTTTAAAAAAGTCAGATGCTAAAAATCCCCACAAATTCTTCTATAAATATGAGATATTTTCTATACGTTTTGTCTTCAATGAACTTTTTCTGACATTTTAGTTTTTAATAAATTTACATGTAAACACACATAGAATTACTACATATTTTAAACATTACCTGGTTTTATAGTTTTTTACATATTCATCTTCATAGGCTAAAAATTTTATAATGTAGAAATAACATAATTTACATAAGAACTTATCATTAGAAATTTAGGCTGTTTCTAATTTTTTGCTGTTATAAACAAACCTGAAATGAATGTTCATATAATATATATGGCTTTTTCATTATCTAATATACAATTTTCTAATACCTTTCTTGGAGTTATTGCCTAGATATTTGTAAATTATATTTTTAAATTTACATAGTTCACTTCTTCCTCATTTTTTAGTTTTTAGAAATCTTTCCCTTTTAATATGCTTCCTAAATGATTATTTATAGTTTTCTAATGTTTTTTATTTTAGGTTTCCTTAATACCATAAGATGTAATTTATCTGTGTCTCATTTATATATTTTAAATTTGAATATAAACATGTTTTTTAGAATATGTTTTAAATCATTTAGAATATGTTTTTAAATCTTTCACCTATCGTGAGTTTATATGCCTTTCTAAGAATACCTGTTCTACTGTTTTCATTGCTAAGATTATTGCCAGTGTCAGAGAAAAAACAAAATAACAATTGAGGAGTTTTACTGTTTTATTTATTCATCAGCAATTATACCTTTGGTCCCAGATACTGAGACTATCTTTCTTTATCTTCTTCCATTTAAACTCATTTCAAAAGAAAATAAAAGAAAGAAAAATAATAGTTTTTTCTTATACGTAGACTTGTAGTAAGTCTCATTTTTGTCTTAAGACTATGAAATGCTATAGTTAGAAGTCAGTTCCATTGTTTCATAACTGGTAGAGAAGTGGTATTTTGGATTTTGAAATATTGCCTTCACAACTTATCTACTGTTTAAATTTGGACTATTAAACTTCTTTTTGCCTCAGCGTTTGCATCTATGCAATGGAGACAACATTCCTCCTATTGCATGGGTTTTGCATAATTAATTAAACAAATTAATTTATATAAAGAGCCAAGAATAGTGTCTGGTATACAGAAAATTCGTTAAATATTAACTATTATACTTATTTTAAAAACCCACACTTGCAGAGAACTCCTTGTCCAACACCATTTTGGTACTTTTGCTTGTTTGTTTGTTGTTAAGAACCGCACTTCTTACTCAACATTTGGATTATGTATACAATCAGATTTTATTTCCTAGAGCTTCCTAATTTTCTTTTGTTTTTATGTAGTATCTTCCACCCCAGAGGCTCATTTCATAAAATTATGCCTATTATTTTTGCTGGACTTTAAAAAGTCTGCCTGCTTTAAGTCTGGAGGACATGCAAAATATAGCCCAATGCTTCTTTAAAATGCATAGGAATCATTTGGGAGATTTTTAAAAAATGTAGTTTCTGATCTGGTCAGTTTTAGATGAAGCTTGAGATTGTGAATTTCTAGCAAGCAGGAAGGAGATGGCAATGTTGCTGCTGGTTTCAGGACCACACTTTGTATAACAAGGTACTAACCTATTCTTTTGTGATTAACACACATTTACTTACTCACTTAGTCATCCACAAAACATTAAGAAACAACTCTTTGCCAGTCATTGAACACCTGATTAGGGACACAATGTTGAACAGAGTCTGAGGAAAGGAAGATTAATCAAATCATCACAAAAATACAAACAAAATTACCTTCTCTCCCTGTCCCTTCTTCCCTGCACACAGTGCTGAGAGCTGAAATGTATGGGTCTTTGTCACAAAGCTCACCTTCTCTGTGGAGACAAGGTGACTGGGTCTCCCACTTGGGTGCCACTTTCTGCATCTTTTTTTTCCCCACTCATATTTTCTCATTTTCCTCTCCTACTATGTGCTTTCTTTTCACCCCCTTGATAACAATGATATGGATCTACTCAATATACCTCTAGGTTGCAGCTTTGCTCTACCAAATGCCCCAGCCGTCTGTTTTTCTCTTTGTACAATGGAGACTGCTGAATGTAGAGTATAGCTTCCTATCTCTTCATTCAAAATTAATATTTTAACTATGTTTGAAGCATAAAAGAGTTTAAAAGAAGTATATTATTGCCATTGACACTAATAATTTAAGAAATTTTAGAGTGCTGTACAAGCTAATATAAGTATCTAATGTCGAATTTTTAGAAAACATGGCTATAACTTTGCACACAAAAAACAGCTATGATTTTGTTAAACTGTATGAGACTTGCTTTGATAAGTTTCATAAGATAATGTTCAGCTAATTTTCATTAGAATAAACTATATGAGACTTGTTTTACTATGTTCAATAAAATATTGCTCAGCTAATTTTTTAAATAAAACCTACAGAGATACCCTTCCAAAGAATAACAGTAAAATCTCCACTCAATTTCTAGTAAATTGCATATTACTAATTAAAGAAAACATTCCATGATATTTACTGTGTCACCCCACATATAGTACCATATAATTAAGAAAATATTTGATACTCAAATTTGGAAGTTGGCATGGTAGGACAATGTTTGTTATTAACACATATCATTTTACATGATTAGCCCATAACATTTCAATGGAAATATTAAATATTTTTTCTAGTCTGTGGCAACCACACATGCAATTTGGAATAATTTAAAATGACTGTAAAACTGCAGCAATGCTATCCAGTTTCAGAAAAAAGTGATTTGCAATTAACTTGAAGATAAATAGCCATATCTTTGATATTAACCAGCTGCAGTATAGCTCTGACAGACTTCACCCCAGTTAAATGTCTACAGTATGCATATTAGAATTTAATAGGTGAGTATATATATAAACTTCCACCATTAATTTTTTATATGAATAATAATGTATGCATAATAAAAGCCAACAACACCCATTTAATATGGGCAGTTTTAATATTCATAACCCTGTTTGCCATTTGGCAAGTCAAAGTAGTCAATGAAAGTCAGTCAAGCTGGTTTTGGATTAACTTACATTTTTATGCATAAATTTGCTTATATAGCTGATGGACATAATGATAAACTCAGTCAAAAACAATTGTGTACTTTCCAAAATTTTACAGTGTGATGAAATGGATTAAACACATGCCATTGAATATGTGGGTTAGTTTGACTGCCATCGGTTATATAGGTTTAGACATTAGTTTATTTTTCATTAAAGTGAAGAGATTAGATTAATTGTTCTCTAAAGTCCAATACCACTTTACATTTTTATGGTACTATTGAATTTTCCATTACTTTTATGGTTTGTATTTGCAAAGAATCATGAAATTTATGGTGTTTTGTTTCCTCCTACGGATTTGCCTTGCAATTAAAACAAACTCACGGCCGGGCGCGGTGGCTCACGCCTGTAATCCCAGCACTTTGGGAGGCCAAGGCGGGCGGATCACGAGGTCAGGAGATCGAGACCATCCTGGCTAAAACGGTGAAACCCTGTCTCTACTAAAAAAATACAAAAAATTAGCTGGGCGTGGTGGCGGGCGCCTGTAGTCCCAGCTACTCGGGAGGCTGAGGCAGGAGAATGGCGTGAACCCAGGAGGCGGAGCTTGCAGTGAGCTGAGATTGCGCCACTGCAGTCCAGCCTGGGCGACAGAGCGAGACTCCGTCTCAAAAAAAAAAAAAAAAAAAAAGCATGACAGTATCACGACTACATAGTATGTCATAAAATATTATCTATATTCAATGTAATTTTAGTACTGAATGACATTATGGCATTCAAGCTTTTCAAAATCAGTAATTCACATAGGGATTTATCCATCCATCCATCCTTCCATCTGTCTATTTTTCTATCAATTCACAAATGTTATTGCATATCCACTTTATGTTGGTGTCAGTAATTCGCATATGGATTTATCCATCCATCCATTGTCCATTTTTCTATCCATTCACAAATGTTATTGCATATCCACTTCATGTTGGTTATTGTATCTTTGTTGTAACAAAGTAATGAGGAAATCACAGTCCTTGCTCTTGAGAGGCTTATAGTAGAGTTGTTACTACCTAATCTTTTTTGTTCACTAGAAAAAGTATGACAAAGTAAGATTGCATTTTCTAAACATGCTAGGCAATAGAGACTTTATTATGTGCTGTTCCAGATGGTAGTTACCTACCCCAAATCCATGTCTTCCCTTCTTTTTTATTATTGTACTTCTATTCTGAATTTGGGAGAACAATGATCACAGTCCTGAGTAATGCATAATGTTTGGTTTAATCCAATTGCTAGAATCCTCTTCTTTGCTTTCCTAATCTTTTTTGAAGTTAAGAATGGCCATTGAGACCTAAAAACTTGTATATTTAGAAGTTTCCTTTCTTAAATAGGGAGCAGTGGTGGCCAACATCATTCCTCCTAATATTTTTTAGTCTTGAAAGCAGATAGGATATCTGAAACTGCAGTAGACATATTTTGATCATAATCTGGTATTCATAGGAAAAGATCACATGATAAAGATGTCACAACAGAAGAGACAGAAAAAACAATTATTTGATGATGTTATAGAGCTGCTGAGCCAACTACAGCTATCTCCTACTTTCTTACTATGTGAGAAAAATAAGCCTCTATTAGCGAGTCATTATAAATTTGGTTTTCTGTTACTTATAGTGGAACACATTTCTAATACATAACATATACAAAAAGATCAATGGAGGGTGTAATATGGTAACATAATGGCAACTCTTGCAGAACAAATTTTGTATTTCTAACAAACACATACATTAAATGGATCATTGGTATGGGCTTGGATATAATTACTTATCACATTAATTTTTGTTTGTATTTGGATTTGAAATGCGGTACAAAATATTAGTAATTTATTCTTAATAGATGGTATAATCTCTTCTGTAGGGATCAGTGGTGGTGGCTACATATTTATATATTTTTTTCTACTGTCCTTTCCTTCAGAACTAAGAGCAAGTTTATTAACTAAGGATGAGAAAAGTTCAGTAACTTGAACTTCAAAGGTACTCAAGGTCTCTCTACAATACGAGTGTTTTTTTCTTTTTTTTGAGACAGAGTCTCGCTCTGTCGCCCAGGCTGGAGTGCAGTGGCATGATCTCCACTCACCACAACCTCCAGGGTTCAAGCAATTCTTCTGCCTCAGCCTCCTGAGTAGCTGGGACTACAGGTGTGCACCACCATGCCTGGCTATGTATTTTAGTTTTAGTAGAGATGGGGTTTCACTATGTTGACCAGGCTGGTCTCAAACTCCTGACCTCGTGATCCACCCACCTCGGCCTCCCAAAGTGCTGGGATTACAGGCATGAGCCACCGTGCCCAGCCTGCAATATGATTTTTTTTTTTTTTTTTTTTTTTTTGAGATGGAGTCTCGCTCTGTCACCCAGGCTGGAGTGCAGTGGCGCGATCTCCGCTCACTGCAAGCTCCACCTCCCGGGTTCACGCCATTCTCCTGCCTCAGCCTCCTAAGTAGCTGGGAATACAGGTGCCCACCACCACGCCCAGCTAATTTTTTGTATTTTTTTTTTTTTTTTTAGTAGTGACGGGGTTTCACCATGTTAGCCAGGATGGTCTTGATCTTTTGACCTTGTGATCCGCCCGCCTCGGCCTCCCAAAGTGCTGGTATGATTTTTAAGAGTAAGACATTTTATCACTCTTGTTCTGGGTCATGAACTGTTTTTCTTTATTTATATGATTATTTATGTGATTTATATGATTATGAGACATTTGAGGAAGAGACAAAGGGCAAGAATGGTGATTGCTATTTTGCGCTTATGAAAAGGGACTCAATTTGTGTTTTAAATTCCATTCCTTCATGGAAAATATTGATGAAGTGAGTCATTAGAGAAATCTTGCTTAACTGAAAGGCAGTTCCAACTTTATTATCAATACAAAGGACTCTATGGGATTTCTATATCTATTTATGATCTGGAAAAGCTAATGCTATATGTACTAAAAGTAGTAGTGTTAAACTTGAGATCTCATTAATGAGCACTTTTCACACTTATTAAAGAGTTAACTGCAAAAAAATAGTTCATATTTGAAGGAACTTTATTCAGTTAAAGCAGATGATAATTGCCATCGTTGTAAGTTGAGGGAATAAGGAGTTGTTGGTATATGTTATTTATATAACAGCTATAATGCTAAGAAAACTCAATAAAAGCTAGAAAGATAACCCTACTATAACTCTGAAGTGTTTTATTTGTGGTATAGGCTCTTGAGATCTCATGGAAATAAACCAAGAACTATTTGAAGTTATTTGGAAGTTATTTTACCTTTATTTAGAATATCGTCCTTTAAGTTGGGAATGTTCAGTTCTCCCCTGGGAGCACTTGTAAGCACATATTTGTTAAGCATGTAGTGTGTTTCAGCCACTGCTTGTGTTATTGGAGAAACACAGGTGATATACACCGCTGCTGGTTGCTCAGTGCTTACAGTTCCTATGGGAGAAAAACACTTTAAAAATCACATGACTCAGTAAGACAGTGGAGCAGAACTCCTGTGTCTGATTGGGAAGGTCAGAAATAGTCAACCACGGCCAGGTGCTGTGGCTCATGCCTGTAATCCCAGCACTTTGGGAGGCCGAGGCGGGCAGATCACCTGAGGTCAGGTGATACAAAAATTAGCTGGGCGTGGTGGCCTGCGCCTGCAGTCCCAGCTACTCGGGAGGCTGAGGCAGGAGAATTGCTTGAACCTGGGAGGTGGAGGTTGCAGTGAGCCAAGATCGCACCACTGCACTCCAGCCTGGGCGACAGAGTGAGATTCCGTCTCAAAAAAAAAAAAAAAAAAAAAAAGTCAACCACCTCTTTCATATCTTATTCAGAACACAATTCTCCATTTGTGCTCTTGATTCAAACTTATTCCATGTCCACTAGAACCCTCTGAGCCAAATTTGTTGTTGTGTTTCTTATCTGTATTTTGAAATGTTTTTTCTCTAGTGTTCTTTTGTCCCACAGCCTAAATATGATCATTCTCACCTCAAAAATATAAGATGTCTTGAGATGGGTCTCTCCAGAACAACTTACTTTTTCTTATCCTCTGCTTTAGGGCCATGATTCTCAATGTTTCAGGCTACAATTGAGGTCTTTACTTCCTTTCATTCCACTCCCACTACCATATTGCTGAGACTTTCCCCTCATCACTGCACTGAAACTGCTTTGTTCAATGTGAGAAATGGCCCACACAGATTGTGAGCTCTGTTAGAATATGAGCTTTTCCTGTTGTACTATGTATTCTCAGCCCCCAGAACAGCACCTCGTACAACGTCAGACCTTAATAAACATTTGTAAATAAATGGCTGATATCTTTTCTTACTTTCTGTTTATTGGTAATATCTTACTCATTCTCTCCTGGTCATTCTTTCTCTCCTTGATTTCTGTTACAGCGTCCTCTTAGTTCTCCTATTACTTTCCAGGGAATTTCCTGTATTTCATTTATTGGATAATTTTTCCTCTGCCCATACATAAAATATTAGTTCTCTTTCTGAATTTTATTCTTTTTTTATTATGACTCTCTAGGTGTTTGTGTTTCTCAAATTCATGGTTCTAACCCCCAAAGTTACTTTGAGTATATCCAGTGATTATTTGACATCTCCATTTATATTTTTTACACTTGCTTCAAAATTGCCTCGGCCAAATCTTCTTGAAAGTTATTTGACCCCTAGAATTTCCCGTCTAATGAAAGACATTATATCCAAAGCCCTGTAATCTATTGATAACCATATAATAATCTCCTTTTTGGCTGAACCCTCCTTCCCAGGCCAAAAATCATTAAGTCTTATAGGTTTCATTTTCTCATTATGTCTGATATCTGACTCTTCAATCAATTGCCCGCAAGAGGCCTTCCTCATCTCTCATGTGGGCTACTGCAGTAGGTTTTTGAGAGTCATCTGACTATAACCTTGTTCTTTTCAAATTCTTTCTATACCTGTGACTTGAATGGCCTTTCTAAAGCATAAGATGTAATAATACATCTCTAACTAAAATATTTCAGTGGCTTCTATGGGGTGCTGTATTAGAAAATTTAACACAGACTATATCTAAATGATAAAATGGACTGAATCTTCTCACTAAAATACAGGATGAGACTTCTACACTTTTTTCCTGCTTTTCTTTTGATTATCTCTTTTCTCTATTAGCTTCATCCTTAGGCTAATTTTGTTTAGCTAAACATGGGACAAGAAACTTTCTTTTTCAGAAGAGGAGTTTCAATCAATTGCCACAACTATGTAAAAAGCCCTTAGCTGCATACTGACTGGACCTTCTTCTTTAAACAAATCCCTTGTGTTTCTCTCTGGACCCTCTACTATGGCAAGGAGAGTGGTGGCCTCTACCTTTGAACTTGGAGTAAGTAAATACCACATGAACATTTTTCAGCAAAATGATAAGAAAATACCTGAGCTTCTGGAATCAGATTAGTTACTTTTTATGGGTGTAATGGAAAAATGGGCAAATTATTTCACTACTTTGCTTTAGATGAAGAAATTGTTCTAATTTATACAGCTGGGGAGCTGGGAAGGGACAGTGATAGTTCTCAATATATAGAACCAAGAAGACTACTTAAGTAGGTGATTCCTTCAGTGACTCTACCTAAGTGACTTGGAGATGTGAGCAATGGAATGCCTTGAACTCTGTAAAAAGGACACGGTATAAATAGAGATTATTAATAGGCATGTATCTTGCCTCAAATGCTTAATAAAATAGTATTTGTTACCACTTTTACATTTACTTTTTCTATTTCAAAACAGTCTTTCTTGTGCTGGTCAGACATTTCCATCTAGGGAGTATAATTCAAATCATCATGCACCAAGTCCACTTTCTTTAACAATTCAAAGGCTTATTCCTACCACAAGCCATTAAAGTAGGAAATAAAAGAGGGTTTAGCTCATTGTGATCTGGAAAAGATTTTGCCACAGCCGCTCAAATGCCACACTCGTGGCAATTAGATGTTTCGTTTTAGGAAATGTGATTATCTGCTTCTGAATAAATCTGAATAACAACTAAGTAAACAATGTGATAATAGACTCAAATGAAATAGCATACAATGCCCATCTTTTCTTCCCCTAGAAGCTCTAACGTAGCTCCTAGAAATTAATTTCAGTCTTTGGCTGTGTATCTGAAAAGAACTTCCAGAATATACTTCATGATTGGAGGAATTAATATGTGAAAATCTACATATGGAGCCGGAGCTGGGCCAGTGCTTACAGCACATTCACTTCACTTCACTGACAGGGACCTAACACCTTTCAGAAGCTCATATAGTGCTCATGTCTTAGAGCTTGAGATGGAGCAGAGACCCTCTTATGGGCCTACCAGGCATCCCCCCACCAGGCACAGAAATAAAGACAAATCTTGAATTCCTCCTAGGGAAATTGCAGACATCTAGCTAGCCCTAGGAATTAAATGAGCAACTTGATAAACAAGATGGTAATAGCAACTTAAAACAATAGCCAAGGAAGTTAGAGTCAGGAGATGTTTTGTTCTCTATAGAAACCAAAGACAACATCTTAACACATTTCCTTGAGTTGTTTTTTAGAAATCCAGATCCCCACCAAATTGGTCCACTGGCACACAGACCTCAGGTAAGGAGGAACAGAAGACTAAACTCTGACCACCATTCTTTGTTATGAATTTCTTCCTGAGGGACCTAGAGAAGGCTCACCCACCCACAAGCCAGAGCTATTCTTTTCTGCTGATCCCAAATTTTAGACAAAGCATCACCTTTTTAACCAATTACAAATCAGAAAATATTTGAATCTACCTATGAACTGTGCCGCTCTACCCTATGAGATGTCCTGCCTTTTCAAGTCAAACCAGTGGGTAGTCTCCATGTCTTGATTTATGACTTTGCCTATAACCTCTGCCTCTCTGCCTTTTAAAACCTCCACCTGAAAGCCATTTGGGAGGTTGGGACTTAAGCATTAGCTGCCTGATCCTCCTTGCTTGATGGCCTGCAAATAAAGGCCTTCTTTTCTCCCACTGCAAATCCTAGGGTGGATATCTAGTCTTAGCGTGTTGGGCAAACAGACTCCAGTTCAGTTTGATAACAAACTTTGTCCACAAGAATCCCACTGCCTTCTCTATATTTGTAAAAATACCAAGTTTAGCATTTGATAATAATTTATAATGTGCATCATTTCTATAAGTAATTGTAAAAATGTAAGAAATCTTATCAAAGATACATAGTCTTTTACCTAACATAAACATAAACAAACTCTCAGTTATTTTTCAGAATAAAAAAATAAAATTTGACAACTATTTTTCTAACTTAATTTTAACAGTGAGAGAGTTATGTTTTTCAGGTTTTGGAAGGGGTTGTTACGTTTCTATAACTTTAAATCTAAAAATAATGAGGCATAAATGAATATTATATCACATTATAATTTTTAATGACTAAAATGATAATCCTGGTTTACCAATACATGGTTAAATTTATTCCAAATACTTTGTTTAAGAAGTCAAGAACATAGGCAATGTATTTTTAAAAGATACCCTTTCCAAATATTTTAAAATATAATACATTTCAATGCTTTTAAAGATACTTCAGTAATCTCTTACACAGTATTCAAAAAGACATTTATTCTCTTAGAAATAGCACTAGTACAGTATTGATCATTTAGTTCAAATCCCTAAGTTTTTTTAGATTCAGGAATTTAAGTAACATGGTTACTTAACCTTATACTGATAAAGGGTTCTGAATGCCCAATTTATATCTAGGATTGTAGATTTCAAAGTCCAATTTATTTTCAGTACATAAGGTAGCACAGGCAAGATTCTCCTTTTTATCCCATCTTAAGGACAGTTAGAAGCTTAAAATTTCAAATAATAAATGACCAAAGAAAAATAATGAACAAACTTACAATTGTATCGTCCAAAATTTTAAGTAAAGCCGGAAAAATGAACTTTATTTATAAGAGCTTTTATAGTATACCAGGAACTGTGACAGATATGTTTGTTTCATTTGTGAGTTTCAGTAACATTATCCACATTTTCAGAGAAGTAAAAAAAAAAACCTGTAACACTGAAGGGTTCTGATTTTCCCAAGGTCATTCCTTTCTTAAGTGGCATATCTGAAATTTGTACCCACGTCTTTCAGATATACTCTATATGATTGCCAAGACCATGGTAGTGACAGAAACAAACTATGGTGACTTGTATCAGATCATGCTGGCCGGTTATGAAAATATGAACAATCCTACACACATTAGTTTAATTTCACAAATTTGTACCACTTTTTCTAAGTGAATGACTTCCATTGTAGGTAAAAATTCCCACATAATACTTGTGAATAATGGGTCAGTTATCTCCCCAGGAAGTTCCCCTAAGGAATTGAGAGTGACCATTTTGAGTAGATTTCCGCAGTCATCACTTACAGGTTACATCAATTAAAGATTGAGTTCCCTTAAAACACTTGAAAGCCTCATAACCACTCCTAAGTTGCACATCACCATAGTTTCTGTAAGGACTGGGCAGAGACAAAGTACCATGCAATTTGGTTTCTTCCATCTTTGGATAATGGCCCAACTTTTGGCAAGAGTCCCAAGTCTGGCATGTGTTGGTTGGCCTCTGCCTCAAGAACAGAATTCTTTCCTTTATGTTCAGCTTGTGATCATGGATGTGTCATGAATTAGTAAGGTGGTGAATCCATGTAGTGATTGTGGCAACCTGGACAATGCAGTCTTGATCAGCAGTGTAATTCCAGCTGGTTTCATCAGAGAATGTACACTTGGCATGGCCATCTACAAAAATGGCTGCAATAGTTCAATTAGCTGCCTGAATTTGTTTTCAAACTACATGGCACCAAAGAAATGTGTCTTTAATCTGACAGTCCATAGTTTTTCAAGTGGCTGGTTAAACCTCTAGCCTTTTGCAACAGGTCAAAAGTCAGTAAAAGTATAGCAAGGTTTATCAAGGGCAGTATTTGACTGATCCTGGGAATGGCTTCAGATCTGCTCACTGAGTTGACCAACCACATCTCTTTTGAGTTTGGAACAGGTGGCAGTGAGGTTGAACACCTGCAGAAGCCTTGTGCACACCATCAGCTTTCAGTTTAGCAGTGCCAGTAAATCAGGTCAGGTATTTTGGGAAATCTCAGCTACATGAGGACTCATTGGGCAGTTGAGTAAACAGCTTTTCTTCTGGCAGTGGAATGGGGAATAAAGTATCCCCTTTGCCTTTTGCCACGATTGTACATTTCCTGAGGCTTCCCCAGCCATGTGGAACTGTGAGTCAATTAAACCTATTTCCTTTGTAAATTACCCAGACTCAGATACTCTTTATGGCAGTGGGAAAATGGACTGATACAGAGTCTATGGCTAAAAAGACAAGGTGTACTCAACAAGCTTCTCTTGTCAAGTGGAAATGGCATATTTATCCTGCTCCCAGTAGAATTTTGGCTTTCCATGAGAAAGTGGCAACTGTACCATAGTTTCAGGAGGGGCTAAAGTTAATAATGGCATAAAAGTACCATCCCAAGAGTGGATATAGATTCTTGAAAAGAAAGTGTTGTTTACAATTTCAAGAATCCCCCATGTGGGACCTATATTAGTCAGGAGATACTAATTGACAATGTCCCTCACAGGGTCTCCCCACAATCTGGTCTAATTCCTACTTCATTCTGAAGAGCTGAGTCTAATTCTTATTCTTGGAGAAACTGCCTTGAGGCAATTTGACCAATTTTTCTGGTTCTGCGAGGCCAGCATTGGCTCCATAGAGCATCAGAGATATAGCTATAAGCATGGGTGTGGGAAAGATGACCAGAAGTATTGACAAATATTGTATGAGAGAGCTGTGGGAGATGGAGCCTTCCTCTAGTATTTCCAATAGACTTATTGGTATGGGTAAGAGAAATGGTGATCAAATCATCATCAGAACCCTTTCAGGAGGATAGAAAACCAACCAGTTTGGAGTTACAACAGAGCATTTTCTTTCACAGGGAAGACTCACAGGGCAATTCTGAAAGGCAAAATATTCATATATCATGCTCACTTTGGCAGCACATGTACTAAAACTGGAACAATATTGAGAAGATTAACATGGCTCCTGTGCAAGGATGACACAAAAATTCATGAAGCATTCCATATTTTTACTGCGACAGGATCAAATCTGGACATATCAGTATTAATCTTGAATGTAAATGGGCTACATGCCCAAATTAAAAGGCACAGAGTGGCAAGCTGGATAAAGAAGCAAGACCTAATAGTATGCTGTTTTCAAGAAACCATCTCGTATGCAATGACACCCATAAGCTCACAGTAAAGAGATGGAGAAAAATCTACCAAGCAATTTGAAAACAAAACACAGCAGGAGTTGCTATTCTGATTTCAGGCAAAATAGAATTTAAACCAACAAAGATTAAAAAAAGACAAAGATGGGCATTACTTAATGGTAAAGGGTTCAGTTATTTCACTGCAGATTATGCTCTCAAGGTTCATCCATGTTGTGGCATCTGTCAGAATTTTCTTCCTTCTTAAGGCTGAATAATATGTCATTGTATGAATGGACCACATTTTGCATATCCATCTATCCATCCACCCACCCATCCATCCATCCATCAGTGAGCATTTGGGCTGCTTCCAAGTTTTAGCTGTTGTGAATAATGTTGATTTGCAGCATTTTAAATAGTAGAAGTTATAGAAGGGATGAGAGAATTTTGATTCACTGGCCCTCTCTTCCATGGACATTCTAGGCTCAGAAAATTTGGTTACTAATAGGCAAAAGCTGAGAAAACACTTTTAAGTGTGTCTTGAGATGCCTGTTGGCTTCTCACCATTTTACTGAACCTGTGATTTAAAATGGCCTCTTCTACCTGCTGATGCTAACAGATGCTCAAAAAGTAGAATAGAGCAAATTCACCTATTTTTTCATGGCTGAGATTCAAGCTGTGTATTTTTAAGCACAAGCACAGGCAGATGCACCCTTGCTACAAGATAAACCAGAATTCTTCATGGCCAGGTAGCTTGGACCTCATTTAAAGGTACCTACAGTAAGTCAAATACCAAAGGGACTTTCTCCTAGGAGTTGTACTCTACAAGGTGGTTCTGGAGGACAGGATTATAGGGGGGCTCTGCTGCTTATGTTATACTTTACCTATAGAAACCTGTGCAATTTCAGAAACAGTGGCCTGCCAGGGGTGGGCCTTCTGGGATCAGTGAACTCTACCAGGGCACTTATATCAAGGATCACTTGGAATTCCTTGGGAAGGACAGTAGGGAGAAAATTTTCAGGGATGCAGACCTGAAGTTACCTGTGCTTCTCCTCTGTGTAGTGAAAACAGTGAAGTTCATAGGAGGATGTCTGTGAGTAGTCCAGCTTAGATAATTTGACTTTGGTGGATTGGAAAGGCAAAACCAGAAATAATTAGTGGTAGTAAGGAAGGAAACCACCCCCATATTGCCCTATGCCCAATTTCTGCCTCAAAGAAAAAGTAGGAGTTAAAGAAAAGACAAGAAATAAAATCAGTCAGACAGCCCTGTGCTGCATTCCAAGCCCAGTAGCTGAAGATCTAACCTAACTGGTTATGTTAATAGATTCCAGACAGCCTGGCACTGCATTCCAGGCCTGGTAACTGAAGATCAACCCCCTTAGAGTTGTGAGCCTTTAAAAGGGACAGGAATTGTGCACTTGGGGAGCTTGGCTCTTGAGACAGGAGTCTTGCTGATGCTCCTGGCTGAATAAACCCCTTCCTTCTTTAACTCGGTGTCTGAGGGTTTTTTTCTGAGGCTCTTCATGCTACATTTCTTGGTTCTCTGACTGGGAAGTGAGGTGATTGGCGGATGGTTAAGGCAGCTCCTTAGGTGGCTTAAGCTTGCCCTGTGGAACAACCCTGAGGGGGACTCTGACCAGCCCGAGCAATGTGGATCCTGAGAGGACTCCCGGGTAGGCATTTGCCCTGGTGGGATGCCTCGCCAGAGCAGTGTGTGGCAGGCCCCCGTGGAGGATCAACACAGTGGCTGAACACCAGGAAGGAACTGGCACTTGGAGTCCGGACATCTAAAACGTGGTAAGACTGGTCTTGGGAACTTGCCCAGTCCATTTGAGTGGAAGCATGACCTGATCACCCACGATGTGCCAGTGCCAGCACTTTGGTTTTTGTTTTTGACTTGACTTGGATTGCTTGATAGTTTGGTTTTGGTTTTGACCTGGCTTGGATTTCTTGATACTCGGATTCTGGTTTTGATTCTGGTTTGGTGTAACTGTAAAAGTGTGTGTGTGTGTGTGGCATTTTTACCCGTTCTTTGTTTTGTGGTGTGCGTGTGGTGTGAGTGTGGTGTTTTGTCTCGAGGAAACATGGGTGAGGCACAAAGAAAGCCTACCCCACTAGGAACTATGTTGAAAAATTTCAAAAACGGATTTAAGGGCTATGGAGTTACTATGACACCAGGAAAACTTAGAACTTTATGTAAAATAGACTGGCCAGCATTAGAGGTGGGTTGACCATCAGAAGAAAGCCTGGACAGGTCCCTTGTTTCAAAGGTATGGCACAAGGTAACCTGTAAAGCCAGGGCACCCAGACCAGTTTCCGTACATAGATGCTTGGTTACAGATGGTTTTAGATCCCTCCACAGTGGTTGAAAGAACTGCAGCATAAGTGGCTGAGAGAGGCAGAGAGGAGAGAGAGAGGCAGAGAGGAGAGAGAGAGGCAAAGAGGAGAGAGAGGGAGACAGAGAGAAAGAGAGAGATAGGCAGAGGGGAGAGAGAGACAGAGGGGAGAGAGAGAGAGACAGAGGGGAGAGAGAGACAGAGGGGAGAGAGAGAGGCAAAGAGGAGAGAGAGACAGAGAGAGAGAGAGAGGCAGAGGGTAGAGAGAGGCAGAGGGGAGAGAGAGAGAGACAGGGGAGAGAGAGAGGCAAAGAGGAGAGAGAGACAGAGAGAGAGAGAGGCAGAAGGTAGAGAGAGGCAGAGGGGAGAGAGAGAGAGACACAGGAGAGAGAGAGAGAGACAGAAAGGAGAGAGAGACAGAGGAGAGAGAGGCAGAGAGAGAGAGAGAGGCAGAGAGAAGAGAAAGAGAGGCAGAGAGAGAGAGAGAGGCAGAGAGGGGCACAGAGGCAGAGAGGGGCCAAATGAGGCCACTGACAACCTGTAGCCTTCTATCAGAAATCCTTAACTCAGTAATCCATGGATGGCCCAAATACATTCAACCTGTAGCGGCAACTGCTTTGCTAACAGAAGATAGTAGAAAAATAACTTTTGGAGGAAACCTCACTTTGAGCACACCTCACTAGTTCAGTTCAGAACTACCCTAAATCAAAAAAGCAAAAAAGTAGCTTACTAACTCAAAAATCTTAAAGTATGGGGCTATTCTTTTAGAAAAAAAAGAAAATCCCCTTAACCCAGCAGGTTTCCTAACAAGGGATTTAAATCTTAATTACCATAAAAAGACCTGGCCAGACCTAGAAGGAACTCCCTTCAGGACAGGACGATCGATGTTTCCTCCCAGGTAATTGAAGAAAAAAAAAAGGCCATCTATACCAATTCTAAGTTAATTTAGACAAAACAAGGTCTTATTAATAGCAAAGGATAATTAAAATCCCAAACTTACAAGGTTTTCAACAAAAGTAAATTTTGCTAAAAGTTAACAGTGTAACATGTATTATAGTAACTTCTAATCTTGTGGCCTTAAGACAGTCTAGTCCACAGACATAAAAGAAGTTTGCTTTGGAAAAGAGTGGTTATCATCTTCGAAAAAAAAAAGAGGGGGAGAAAATGGGGGGCAGAATTTATGTAAAAAGAGTGGTATATGGTAAATTCTTGTCCTGAAATAAATTAACTGGTTGTTTAAAGAAAGAAACGTTTGTAATAAGTCAGAAAGTTGAGATGTGTCGAAGAATTGTCTGTGAAAGTTGTGAAAGAGAAAAATGTTATAAAGAAAGAATTTATGCAAGAAATGTTGTATAATTTAAAAGTTACTAGAATGTTAATTGGAAAGAAAATTCTGTGTGTAAACATTGGTTAAAGTTAAAGAGGTATCATCCAGTTTTTCTGTAAACTGGACATTAAAATAAAAGCATAACAGGTTTTTCTTAAAGCACCAACCTGCTCTTTAGCAAAAATTATATAAGGTTAAAAAGAGTCTATAAAATCTTATCTTATGGTCAAACATTAAAAATTGAGTAAATATGTATACAAAGTTTTATTAAAACTAAGTTTAACATTAATAGCACATTAATGTAAAGGTGAAATTTAACTTATCTGGTATAAAAATCATACAAGAAGCATTATTAAATATAAAATGGTGTTTGGCTTTCTTTGGTCTAAAATCTAATAAAAATAGGTGCTAATGGAAATTTCTCAGTAAGAAGGCACCAAAGACTATAAGGTCCGCTGCTGATGTCCCCACATTTAAAACAAAAAGTCAATTTCTTAGAAATTATATACTTGGTTTATCTTCCACTTTCCTTTCCCTTAAAACTAAAAGTCTTTTAGCACATGTACCACACCTAGAATTTCCAGTAAACCAGCACCAGCCTGAAGATCACCTTCTTATCAAAGTGTAGAAAGAAGAAAAACTCAAGCCGGCCTAGGAAGGACCCTACCTTGTGCTGCTAACCACCGAGACTGCTGTTCCTACAGTGGAAAAGGGATGGACTCATCACATCTGAGTCAAAGTGCCACACCCTCCAGAGTCATGGGCCACAGTCCCAGGGGAAAATCCTACCAAACTAAAGCTAAGAAAAATTTAACCCTTTCATCTATTCTATTACTCTTTCTTCTTTCTTCGTTCTATTGCTGACCATCTGGTTATTAACACAACCAAGTCAATTTTGCCTCAAACTATTGCATTTAATGCTTGCCTTGTTATACCCTGTGGGGACTTGCCAAGTCAGAGACAGCTTTCTACTTCAGAAAAGTACTTCTGTCCCTCCTGACTCTCCTCAGACTGGGCATTAGTAAACTAGGACCATTTAATCTGGGGAGATTTTGATAAAGACCCCAGTGCCAACCAGGAGTCTTGCCCCCCGATGTAGAGCTTTCATGCCATAGTTGGTCCAACATTCTATGGACCACTAAAGAGCAAGGATGGACTGCCCCAACCTGTTTTTATAATTTCCTAAAACCATACATTCATTTTACTAGAGGATGATAGAAGTTAAAGACTTAAAACAAACTTTAGCAATTAAGACAGGATACCAAGATGCAAATGCCTGGTTAAAATGGATCAAATATTCCATCTGCACGTTAAACAAAAGCAATTGTTATGCTTGTGCACATGGCAGGCCAGAGGCCCAGATTGTCCCCCTTCCATTAAGATGGTCTTCTAGTTGGCCAGGCATAGGCTGCATGGTAGCTCTTTTCCAGGATTCTATAGCCTGGAGTAATAAGTCACCCCAAGCTCTCTCTGCTATATCCCAAAGTCCGGCACCCTGTGGGTCAGCCCCCGAGGGCCATCCAGCCTCCCTCTTCCGATACTAAGTTCACTTCGTGTCTCTCATGACAGGGAGGAAACTTAGCATTCCTTGGAGACCTGAAAGGATGCCATGAGCTTAAAAATTTTCAAGAGCTTATCAGTCAGTCAGCCTTTGTTCATCCCCAAGCAGATGTGTGGTGGTATTTTGGTGGACCTTTACTGGGCACTCTGCCGAATAACTGGAGTGGCACTTGTACTTTAGTCCAACTGGCTATCTCTTTCACCCTGGCATTTCATCAACCAGAGGGAGGAAAAATAAGACTTCATAAAGTGAGAGAAGCCCTTTATGGGTCTTTCGACTCTCACGTCCATTTAGACACAATTGGAGTCCCACGGGGAATACCGGATCAATTTAAAGCTTGAAATCAAATAGCTACAGGATTTGAGTCAATATTTTGGTAGGTGTCAGTTAATAAAAATGTAAATTGGATAAACTACATCTGTAACAACCAACAGCAAAGAGCTTTTCATGAGTTAAAAGAAAAACTCATGTTGGCCCCAGCCCTGAGGCTACCTGACCTGACAAAACCCTTTACACCCTATGTGTCAGAAAGAAGAAAAATGGCAGTTGGAGTTTTAACCCACACTGTGGGGCCCTGGCCAAGGCCAGTGGCCTATCTCTCAAAACAACTAGACGTGGTTTCCAAAGGCTGGCCCCCATGTCTAAGGGCCCTGGCAGCAATGACCCCATTAGCACAAGAAGCAGATAAGCTAACACTTGGGCAAAACCTAAACATAAAGTCCCCCTATGCTGTGGTGACTTTAATAAATACCAAAAGACATCATTAGCTAACGAATGCCAGACTAACTGGATACCAAAGCTTGCTCTGTGAAAATCCCTGCGTAACCATTGAAGTTTGCAATACCCTAAACCCCGCCACCTTGCTCCCGGTATCAGAGAGCCCAGTTGAACATAACTGTATAGAGGTATTGGACTCATTTTAGTCTGGTGGGCCCAACCTCCAAGACCATCCTTAAACATCAGTAGACTAGGAGCTGTATGTGGATGGGAGCAGCTTTGCCAACCCTTGCAAAATGACTCTGAAGAAGATGACAAGCCCTGCTCCAGTCACACCCGGAAGCTGACTGGTCCATGCATGGCCGAAGCATGAGGAAACTCATCGCGGGACTCATTTTCCTTAAAATTTGGACTCGTATAGTAAGGACTTCAACTGACCTCCCTCAGATTGA
This sequence comes from Homo sapiens, assembly GCF_000001405.40. NCBI lineage: Eukaryota > Metazoa > Chordata > Mammalia > Primates > Hominidae > Homo > Homo sapiens. The sequence goes on along the minus strand of NC_000003.12, from coordinate 87,736,031 downwards.
GGACTGTTCCCAGTGTATACATCAAGTCACTGAGGTGGGACAAAAAGTTGCTACAGTCCTATTATTTTATGATTATTATAAGGGTACCGGGACTCTAAAAAAAATTGTTTGTATAATGCTATTCTATGCAAGGTATGTTGCCCAAGCAATGACCAACCTGATGTGTGTTATGACCCATCTGAGCCTCCCATGACCACAGTTTTTGAAATAAGATTAAGGACTGAGGACTCGTAGAGGCTCATAAATGATATGAGTAAAGTGTTAGCCAAAACAAAAGAAAAAGGGGTGCCCAAACAAGTCATCTTAAAATTTGATGCCTGTGCTGTCATTAATAGTAATAAGTTAGAAATAGGATGTGCTTCTCTTAATTAGGAAAGAGGCTATATGGCAGAAAATAAGCACATTTGTCATGAATTAAGACTGTGTAGAAATGAATGTGGATGCTGGTCTTGTGTCATTTAGGCTACTTAGATAAAAAAGTAAAAAGGATCCTGTCACCTTCAGAAAGGGAAAAGTGGCCCTTCTTGTACCAGTGGTCAGTGTAACCCCTTAGAATGAGTAATAACCAACCCCCTTGATCCTCGCTGGAAAAAAAGGGAATGTGTAACCCTAGGAATCGATAGGGCTGGACTGAATCCTCGAGTAAATATCATGGTTTGAGAAGTTTATAAATGCTCTCCTGAGCCAGTATTTCAAACCTTCTATGATAAACTGAATGTGCCAGTACCAGAAATTCCAGGAAAAACAAGAAATTTGTTTTTGCAGTTAGCCGAGCATGTAGCCCAGTCTCTAAATGTCACTTCAAGTTATGTTTGTGGAGGAACTGTAATGGAAGGTCAATGGCCATGGGAAGCCTGAGAATTAGTGCCTATAGACCCAGTTCTTGATGAATTCCCAGCCCAAAAGAATCACCCTGATCATTTCTGTGTTCTAAAAGTCTCAATTATTGGACACTATTGTATAGCTAGAGAAGGAAAAGAATTCACTCATTCTGTAGGACGACTTAGTTGCCTGGGACAAAAACTGTATAATGGTACCACAAAAACAGTTACACGGTGGAGTTCAAACCACACAGACAAAAATCCATTCAATAAATTTCCAAAGTTGCAGACCGTTTGGGCCCACCCAGAATCCCACTGGGACTGAACGGCCCCCACTGGGCTATACTGGATATGTGGACGTAGAGCCTACACTAAGCTGCCTGATGAGTGGACAGGAAGTTGTGTTACTGGCACTATTAAACCATCTTTCTTCCTACTGCCCATAAAAACAGGTGAACTCCTGGGCTTCCCTCTCTATGCTTCCTGCGAAAAGTGAAACATAGCCATAGGTAATTGAAAAGATGATGAATGACCTCCTGAAAAAATTATACAATACTATGGGCCTGCCACTTGGGCACAAGATGGCTCATGGGGATACCGGACCCCCAATTACATGCTCAACCGAATCATATTGTGGCAAGCTGTCTTGGAGATCGTTGGTAAAGCCTTGACTGTTCTGGCCTGGCAAGAAACTCAGATGAGAAATGCTATCTATCAAAATAGATTAACTCTCGACTACTTGCTAGCAACTGAAGGAGAAGTCTGTGGAAAATTTAACCTTACCAATTGCTGCCTGCAGGTAGATGACCAGGGGCAAGTAGTCGAAGATCTAGTTAAAGACTTCATGAAACTGGCACATGTGCCTGTACAAGTATGACACGGATTTGACCCTGAGGCCTTGTTCGAAAATGTTTCCCAGTGCTAGGAGGATTTAAAAGTCTTATAATAGGAATTATAGTAGTAATAGGAACCTGCTTACTGATCCCTTGTTTACTACCTGTACTCATTCAAATAGGTGAAAGGTTTCAACACTACTCTAGTTCACCAGAATGCTTCAGCACAAGTGTACTACATGAATCACTATCGATCTGTCATACAGGAAGACGCAGGTAGTGAGGATACAGATGAGAACTCCCACTAATAAAATAAGTGAGAGTCTCAAAGTGGGGAATAAGGAAGGAGACCACCCCCCATATTGCCCTATGCTCAATTTCTGCCTCAAAGAAAAAGTAGGAGTTAAAGAAAAGACAAGAAATAAAATCAGTCAGACAGCCCTGCGCTGCATTTCAAGCCTGGTAGCTGAAGATCTAACCTAACCGGTTATGTTAATAGAGTCCAGACAACCTGGCACTGCATTCCAGGCCTGGTAACTGAAGATCAAACTGCTTAGAGTTGTGAGTCCTTAAAAGGGACAGGAATTGTGCACTCAGAGAGCTCGGCTCTTGAGACAGGAGTCTTGCTGATGCTCCTAGCCGAATAAACTCTGTCCTTCTTTAACTCGGTTACTGAGGGGTTTTGTCTGCGGCTCTTCCTGCTCCAGTATATTTAACATATTTATTAGGAACCAAAGCCAAGAATCCTAGTGATGCTAAATGGCCCTCAGTGGTGTTTGGTTTTGCATTGGGACAGGAAATGTTCCTCATGTCTAGCGATTATTAATTTTATTATTTATATCAGGTTTACATGTTTAATGTTACATCACTTTTTGAGATCATTTTTACTAAATCTAAATATTTTTTGTTGTTTTCTGTAAACATTGTATACAAAATCAATGTCACACTTGGCAAAAATGAACAAATTTTATTATTTAAATAACTTCAAACTGATATTCTCTATAGGCATTTTCTTATCACTGTTAAACACTATATGTTGCTGTTTATTCAGTTTTCTTTCAGTTCTAATAAATGCACCTGCTCCTTTTTGTATGCAAGTGACACATTTAATGTTCTTTTAATCAAGAATGATTAAGTGAAATTGCAGGATTTTCATCTGAACTGTTCAAGTTCTGAATTTGAGGTGATACTTTTTTTTTCTCATTTTCATTATTTTGATTAAAAAATAAATCTTCATTAAATTAATCATTTGTAGTATCCTGTATGCTAAACTTAGGTTGGTCATGTTTAAGTAAAATCTAGTTTCTTTCTTTTTTTTCACTTAAATAAAAATAAACAAGCTACCATTCTAAAGAGTTTTTTTATTGTTTTCAACTTCTTTGGCTCTTCACGTTTATGTATACTATGATGTAAACGTGAAGTTACTTTCAATCATCTAAAAGACTGTAATTGCTTTCCCAGTATAAGAAATTAAATACATTTTCACCAAAGTATAGTAATGTAAAAATAACTAAAACTTATTTTCCAAAAAGTTTTATCTTGAAATTAAAATGCAAAATATAACTTCTAAATAATAATTTCAAAAATTAATTCAAATAATTGTATTAAACTGAACATTTTAATTTAATATTCTCAAACATTTAGTTAAATCCTATTAAACATTTAATAAAATAATGTTCTTTTACATACTACATGAAAGTGAAGTATTCATATGATAAGTCTAGACCTAGTAATGAGAATTGTGTAATATAGTAAATTTGTCATGTCTACCTTCTATGACTGTTAGGGTTTATGTACTAATGGGAAATTTTTTGCTCTGTGAGAATGTATTGTGTTCATGCTGACAGGAAGGAATTGACTAGGTAATTATATCGGTTTTTCTCCTATTTAAGCACCTCTGCCATTCATATCTTCCTCCTTCTCAAGCTGTGTTTGTGTCAGATAGGGAAGCTATAGAATTCACAGACTTTCCTGGCGACTGGATGCAATCATCTTTTGTTTTGGAGGACATAGGCAAGAAATGTTTCAAAGCTTTCTCTTGGGGCCTGAACAATTGTTAGGCGTAAGAGTTGATGCTGATGTTTAGGGTTATAGATTCGGCTATCAGCACTGAGTGTTGAATTCTGAGAGTCAGAACCCATATGTTTTTTAATAAATGATATTTATGATATGTGAGACTCTTAAAAACTTATGACCCTGACCAAGGATTTCCTTTTGCCTAGGTCTATGGGCAACAATAGGGAAAATGTCAATTTTATTTTTTCTAGTATATAAGTGAATAAATTGATCTATTCATTTTATCATTCTATTTTTTTAATTGTTCAATATTACCTGTACCATGGAGAACATAGTCACACTTATAAAGGCTTTATTTTCAGAGAAATAGTTGAGATTCATTTCAAAGAGTGTGAAGTTAAGCAGAATTTGATGATAAAATCTGATTTTTCCCTCCTCATTTCCATTTCAAAAATAAAATCCTGCAAATTTTGGCTAATGTAAAATATTTTAAATATACTGTATGACGTTCAATTAAGTTACTGTATTCAATTTAGTTGAATAAACGTTCAATTCAATTTTTAAAATGAGTTAAAAATATTTCAGAATGTGTTTTTTTTTTTCCTTGATAGTGATTCTCCAAGGGCAAATGAATTTTGACCAGGAAGACAGTGAAGAAATTTCATAAAAGTGAAATACTAATTGGAAGCTCCTATCGGCATTGGTTGATCTGACAAGTTGTGTGTATAGAAACTAGCCTATATGGAGACACGAATGTCAAAAGAAGTTTTACCGATGATAGAAATATGAGAGGATCATTATGTATTCTTCAAGAAAAAGAAATATGGCAAAGGATAGTAAAGGTAATACTGCCAAAAATATCCAGATTGTATTGAAGAAAATTGTGAAAAAAAGGACCAGAGTCAAAGTTATTTTTCTAGGTAAGTACACTTGTTAAAACATAATCATGGCCGGGCATGGTAGCTCACGCCTGTAATCCCAGCACTTTGGGAGGCCGAGGCAGGCAGGTCACAAGGTCAGGAGATCGAGACCATCCTGGCTAACATGGTGAAACCCCATTGCTACTAAAAATAAAAAAATTAGCCAGGTGTGGTGACATGCACCTGTAGTCCCAGCTACTCAGGAGGCTGAGGCGGGAGAATTGCTTGAACCCAGGAGGTGGAGGTTGCAGTGAGCTGAGATTGTGCCACTGCACTCCAGCCTGAGTGACAGAATGATACTCCATCTCAAACAAAACAAAATAAAACATAGTCATATTGGCCAGGTGCAGTGTTTCACACCTATAATCCCAGCACTTTGGGAGGCCCAGGTGAGTGGATCACCTGAGGTCATGAGTTCGAGACCAGTCTGGACAACATGGTGAATACTAAAAATACAAAAATTAGCTGGGCATGGTGGCAGGTGCCTGTAATCCCAGCTACTCAAGAGGCTGAGGCAGGAGAATCGCTTGAACCCGGGAGGTGGAGGTTGCAGTAAGCTGAGATTGTGCCACTGCACTCCAGCCTGGGTGAAAGGGCAAGACTTCATCTCAAAAAAACAAACAAACAAAGAAACCAAATAAAACTATAATTATATAAATGGATGAGCCCACCAACCAATAATGCAAATAAAATGCAAAGCTAAATTTATTGCTTACTTAGGTAAACAATAGTTATGAGAGTCCAGCAAAGTCTTCTCAAGCAAAGCAGATAATTGATCTTACACAGGACTTTGGGGGATGCATGGTGTGGAGGGAATGGTAAATTTTCAAAGGTAGGAGTGGGCTAATGCCAGATTTAGAAATGTGATACCTCAGAAGAGAATGTTGTTAATTGGCTGCTTTCAGATTCAGGTTTATTGGAGTATGACTGTTGCTGATTTATTAAATACATTTAAGATGTGTTCTTCTGGTTATTTGTGATTCTAGAAAAAGACTAATTTTTCTATGATGAAGGAAATGAAAATATTTCATTCCAAAATATAGTTCTTTGACATATTTTGAGATGGTTATTCAGAGAACCAGCATACAGAGGTAATCCTGCAGAGCTGTCTTTTGTGAGGGATGTTTGCATCTGAAGAGAATCTGGGCCAGGTGCAGTGGCTCACGCCTGTAATCCCAGCACTCTGGGAGGCTGAGGCGGGCAGATCACAAGGTCAAGAGATTGAGACTAGCCTGGACAACATGGTGAAACCCCATTTCTACCGAAAATACAAAAATTAGCTGGGCATGGTGGTGTGTGCCTGTAATCCCAGCTACTCGGGAGGCTGAGGTAGGAGAATCACTTGAACCTGGGAGGCAGAGGTTGCAGTGAGCCGAGATCGCGCCATTGCACTCCAGCCTGGGTGGCAAGAGCGAAGCTCCATCTCAAAAAAAAAAAAAAAAAAAAAAAAAAAAAAAAAAAAAAAAGAGAATATGGCATTGATGCAATTGGGTTTTCTCTGAGACTCTCCCTTGTCCAGATTTAGGAAAGATTAATTGAAAGACTGGCACCTTAAAGGTCTGAAATAAATATTTACCATCTCTTCTCTCTGAAGGCTGCTACTTGTGAGGTTTCATCTATTTAAGAAGACTCCTTTGCTAGCCATGCCTCCTCGTTTCTCTCTCTTATAACCTGTTTTGTTACTATTACTATAACCTGACTTACTTCCATAACCTGGTTTTGGCCAAGATCCAAGCCCCTATTCTTTCTATAACCTCAAGGTGGTATACACGCTTCTGTACTCCATTGGGGGATGGAGTAATCACTCTGAGGTTCTTTCTATGCATAATAATTAATTTGTATGTCATTTCTCCTATTAATCTGCCTTTTGTGAGATTTTTTTTTTTTCAGTGAAACTTCAGAGGATGAAGAGAAAGCTTTCCCTTGGCCGCTAGAGTAGCCATATTAACAAATAATCACCAGAACCAGTCTTAAATCTATGTCATTATTATTTTAATAGAAATAACAACTGGCTGGTCACAGTGGCTCACACCTGTAGTCTCAGCACTTTGGGTGGCTGAGACAGGAGGATTGTTTGAGTTTAGGAGTTCAAGACCAGGGGTAACATGGCAGGAACATATCACTACAAAACATAAAAACAAACAAACAAACAAACAAAAAAACTAGCCAGGCATGGTGGCACACACTTGCTGTCCTAGCTTCTTAGGAGGCTGAGGCAGGAGGATCATTGAGCCCCGGAGTTCAAGGTTATGGTGAGCCGTAATCATGCCACAGCACTCCAACCTGGGACAGTGAGACCTTGTCGTTTTTTTTTAAAAAAAAGAAAGAAAAAAATAACAACTTATCAGTGACTTACAGAACACTATGGGTTAACTAACTGATTCAGGATAAGGAGTTTTGCATGAAGATGCATTCAAAATATTTTATAACAGATAACAAAGTTTTAACTTTTTGATTAAGGTTGAGTAAACAAAGTAAAAAAAATCTACATATCTTAGGACTAGAGGAGAAGAGGCTATGGAGAAGGAATTAAGAAATACTTTCCTTGTTCATGGGAAATAAGAGAGTTTATTACTTTTTCTAATGCACGAAGAATTTTTTTTTTTTAATCACAAAGAAGTGAGTTTCTGAAGATATAATTGATTTTCCTTTTGGAACCAAAAACTTTAAGGCTGTTCTATATGAAAAAATAAGCAGCTTTGAGAAGTGTAAATTAAAGATATCATTAATTCAAAAACCACAAGAAAGGGATCTTTCTTGCTCCTACGTCTTAAGGGCCTTTTTAAAGAAATGTTATGATAAGATTGATTTGATTTCAGTTTGAGCATATATCCAGTGATGTACCATAATTTATATACTGAAGATAGAAATCTGTGTTTCCTTTTTAAGCCTGTCTTTATTCTGATTGCAGAAGTGATTTTTTCTATTTAATTCTATCTTCATCTTATTGGTGGCTTTTTATTACTATGTGATATTCTAAAGTAATTTATATTTTTATCAGTATTTAACCATTTATTAATTTATTTAAACAACCTGGTGTTGATGAAAAGACTTAAACTCCATGAAACACTTAAAGATTATTTATTCTGAGCCAAATATGAGTGACCAATGGCCCATGACACAGATCCCAACAGGTCCTGAGAACATGCGCCCAAGGCAGTTGGGCGACAGCTTGGTTTTACACATTTTAGGGAGACATAAGGCATCAATTAATACATGTAAGATGTACATGGGTTTTGTCTGGAAAGGTGGGACAACTGGAAGCGGGGGTTACCAGGTCATAGGTGGATTCAAAGATTTTCTGAATGATAATTGGTTGAAAGAGTTACTATCTAAAGACCTGGAATCAATAGAGAGGAATGTCTGAATTAAGATAAGGAGTTGTGGAAACCAAGGTTTTATCATGCAGATGAAGCCGCCAGGTAGCAGGCTTCAGAGAGAATAGCTTGTAAATGTTTCCTATCAGACTTAAAGAGTCTGTTCTATCAGTCTTAAGGTTCCTGTTTTAATGTTAATGCTGGTCAGCCGTTTCTAAATTCCAAAGGGAGGAGGGCATAATAATGCATGTTCGACCCCTACTTCCCATCATGGCCTCAACTAATTTTTCAGGTTAACTTTGGAATGCTCTTGGCTAAGGGGAGGGTTCTTTAGTTGGTTGAGGGATTTATAATTCTATTTTGGTTTACACTGGTGAAGTAGGTCACTATATTTTGCAAGAATTTATTATTTATTTTGATTTGGGAAATTTGAGCAGACAATTTAGACATTTTTTTCTAGGATGCAAATAAGATAAAATGTTTTGGCATTTTCTCCCTAAGCCTCCAAAAGGTTTTCATATGTAAGATAGTCTACAATTTGTTAGCTTATATTTCTATAAATATAATGAGTTCTTTATTCATAAAATTATTTGGTATATTAGAAATTGATCTAACAATATTCCCCCATGGCAGCTCTCATGTGTTGGAGTCACCCGCCTGTAGCTCTCTCAGACTGGAATCACACACTAGGATCCTCTGTTGGTTTGGAGTCTCAGGGGTGGCCTCATTCTCATGGCTCCATCAGCATTGCACTAGTGGGGTCTTTCTGTGGTAGCTCTGCTCTCATGGTGGCTATGCACCCAAGGCTTCTGGTGCCTCTATCCTTGGAAATGTAGGTGAAGGTAGCTACATCCCTGTGGCTAATGTACTCTGTGTGCCATCAGAGAAGTGGCCACTGATGTTGCTGCTGTATGTGGGCCAGTTGGAGCAAAACCTGGGGTAGGTGAGTAGTGCTGTGTCAAAATGTGGGGATCAGAGTCTTGAGACAGCATTGGGTAGTGTGTGCTAAAGTCCCTCAAGTGCCTCTGGGCCCTCTTTTGAAATCATTTTGTCCCTTAAACCCTGACTTCCTGTGCTTGTGATGGAAGGGGCCACCCTGATAATCTCCAAAATGCCCTCAGGGTCATTCTTCCATTATCTCAATGATAAATACATGTTCATTCTTCCATTATCTCAATGAGAAACACCTCTTCACCATGGATGCTGCCATCCCTCACTTGAAAACCCCACCTGGGGTTTAAGGACTGCCCCACTCCCACACACCATGAATGATTCCTACTTTCACCATTGTGGGGCTTGAGTACTAGCCCACCTGGACCATCTTTGCCCTTTCCTTTGAGACCGAGCACATAGTCCAGGGTCTTGGGGATTGCCCAACATAATTCTCTACCTTGGGCACCTGAGCACACTTCCTGGGGATCAGAGTTTGTGTCTAAACTCCTACCACTAACACCTCAGCTGTAAGAGCCACCTATGGGCCTGAAGACTGGGCTGCCCAGCCGATCACAGCTACTGCCAATGTTAATGCACACTGCTTGAGACCAAGAGAATCATCTCACCATTGCTACTGCCATCACCCATCACCCAGAGGCCTGACAACCCTCCCAGCCACCTGATCCACCACTGCCACTATTGGCATCTGAGCAAACCACCTAGAGGGCCAAGAATCAACTCACCAATAACTGCCAACACAAGTCGTAGCATGCACTTTCCTGGGGCACAAAGGTAGGCATGGTCAGTCCACCAATGCTCCCACTGGGTTCTAAAGACTGGCCAACCTGCAATCCTAGTCTCTTAGCACAATTTCACCACAGTTTCTGCTAATTACCATAGCCTCACCCACCCAGGAAATAGTAGATATCATTAAAGCTTTTTATAGCCAAAGAAATTATACAGAGACTACACTACTGCATGCACCCAGAATCAAAGCCAAAGTACCCTATCCAACCAAAACCATAGATACATCTGCAGGAAAATGTTCTCCCCTATAAAAGGAAGTTCAAAAATAGGAGGAAGTGACTGTTACACCAGATAAACAGATATCTTCTAAATACACAGCAATCATGAAAAAGCAAGGAAATATGACACCTCCAAAGGAACACAATAAATCTCTAGTAATAGATCAAAATCAAAAAGAAATTTTTGAAATCTCAGCTAAATAATTCAAAATGTTAATTTTAAAGAAGCTCAGTGAGATACAATCAAATTCAAAAACAAAAAATCAGAAAAATGATTCAGGATATAAATGAGAAACTTACCAAAAGGATAGATTTTTTTTTAAAGAACCAAATAGAAGTTCTAGAACTGGAGAAGTCATTAAAGGAAATACAAAATACATTTGACAATTTCAACAATACACGAGATCAGGCAGAAGGAATATTCTCAGGTCTTTTCAAATTATCTAGTAAGACAAAAATAAATAAAAACAAAAAAGAATGACTTTTGGGATGACATAAAGTGACTGAACTTATGAATTATTGGTATACTGCAGGGCAAAAAAACAAAGAAATTATTAGAAAACCTATTTAACATAATAATAAATAAAAACTACCCAACTTTAGCAAGAGATTTGCTCATTCATATACAAGAGGCTCAACGATCCCCAGGAAGATACAACACCAAAAGGTTTTCTCCACAGCACATTATAATCAGATTATCTAAAATCAATGTTAAACAACAAATACTAAAAACAGTAAGAGAAAGCATTTAGTCCCCTATAAAGAAAACCCCATCAGACTAACAGTGGATTTCTCAGCTGAAACCTTAAAGACCAGAAGATAATGGGATAATATACTTAGAGTGCCAGAAGAAGAAAACTGCCACCCCAGTACATTATAGTTAGCAAAATTTTCCTTCATAAATGATGAAGAAATAAAGTAATTTCTAGGCAAACAGAGGCTGTGAGAATTTGTTACCATGGGACCAGTCCTACAAGAAATCAAGGCAGTCCTAAACCTGAAAGTGAAAGGACAATATTTACAATAAGGAAAAAACACATGAAATTATAAAACTCACCAGTAAAGCAATTATACAAAGGAGAATGAGAAAGGACTCAAATGGTACCATTACAGAAATCCACCAAACCACAATGACAAACTATAAGAGAAAAAGAGAGAAACAAAGAATATATACAGCAACCAGAAAACAACAATGTGACAGGAACAAAGCCTGACATATCAACAATAACCTTAAGTACAAATGGATTAAATTCTCCTTTTAAGAGATATAGAATGAGTAAATGGATGTTAAAAAATATGATTGAAGTATATGCTGCTAATGAGAAACTCATCTGACCAGTAAAGACACATATAAACTGAAAATAAAGGGAGGAAAAAAATATTCTATGCAAACAGAAATGAAAAGTGAGCAGAAGTAGCTATATTTGTATCAGATAAAACACACTTTAAGTCAAGAACAGTAAAAATGACAAAGAAGGTCAATTATATAATGATAAATTGATTAATCTAAGAAAAGGATATAAGAATTCTAAATATATATGTGCCTAACACCAGAGCACTTAGATTCATAAAGCATTTATTGCTATATCTCAATTAAGAGATTGACTGCAATACCATAATAGTGAGAGAATTCAACATCCTACTCTCAGCATTAGATAGACCCTCTAGAAAGAAAATCAGAAAAGAAACATTGGGTTTAAATTGGAGTTTAGACCAAATGATCCTAACAGACACTTATAGAACACTGTATCCAACAACTGTAGTATATACATTCTTTTAATCAGCAATTGAAACCATCTCCAGGACAGAACACATGTTAGGCCACAAAACAAGTTTCAAATATATATATATTTAAATGAAATAATATAGGCTGGGTGTGGTGGCTCATGCCTGTAATCCCAGCACTCTGGGAGGCTGAGGTGGGTGGATCACAATGTCAGGAGTTTGAGACCAGCCTGACCAGCATGGTAAAACCCCGTCTCTACTAAAAATACAAAAATTAGCCGGGGATGGTGGTGTGCACCTGTAATCCCAGCTACACAGAAGGCTGAGGCAGGAGAATGGCTTGAACCCAGGAGGTGGAGGTTGCAGTGAGCTGAGATCACACCACTGCACTCCAGCCTGGGTGACAGAGTGAAACTCTGTCTCAAAAAATAAACTAAACTGAACTAAAATAAAATAATAATAAATAATATAAAGTATCTTCTCAGTCCACAATAAAATTAAACTAGAAATTGGAATCAAGAGAAACTCAGAAAATGATATAAATACAAGGAAATTAAACAACAAAATCTTGAATGATTATTGGGTCAAAAAAATTAAGTTGCAGATTTAAGAATTTCTTGAAAAAAGTGAAAATGAATACACAACATACCAAAAATCTGTGGGATACAGCAAAAGCAGTGCTAAGAGAGAAGGTTATAGCAATAAGTGTCTATACCAGAAAAGTAGAAAGTTTACAAATCAACAATCTAACAGTGTATCTCAAGGAACTAGAAAAGCAAGAATAGACCAAAACCAAAATTAGCAGCAGCAAAAAATCACGAAGATTCGAGCAGAGCTAAATGAAATAGAGACAAAAATTAAAAGGGTCAACTAAACAGAAAGCTTGTTCTTTGAAACGATAAACAAAATTGATAAATCACTAGCCAAGAATAGAAGAGAGAAGACACAAATAACTAAAATCAGAAATGAAAAAGGAGATATTACAACTAATATCACAGAAATACCAATGTTTGTGAGAGATTATTATGAACAACTATATGCTGAAAACTGGAGAAATTGGATAATGGATAAATTTCTGGAAATATAAAACCTGCCAAGATTAAGTCAGGAAAAACCAAAACCCTAAATATACCAATAACAAGTATCAAGATCGAAACAGTAATAAAAATCCTCCTATGAAAGAAAAGCCTAGGACTGGATGGATGCATAGCCAAATTCTAGCAAAGATACAAAGAACTAACAATAATCCTCCTGAAACTATTCAAAAAAATTGAAGAGGAGAGAATTCTTCCTAACCCATTCTGTCAGCATTATTACCCTGATACCAAAACCAAGGATACAACAACAACAGCAACAAAAACTACAGGCTGATTACCCTGATAAACATAGATGCAAACATCTTCAACAAAATACTAAAAAACAGCATTCCAGCATATTAAAAAGACAATACATCACCATCAGGTGGGATTTATACCAGGGATGGTTCAACATATGCAAATCAATAAATGTGATACATCACATTAACATAATGAGAGACAAAAACCATATGATCATCTCAATAGATGGGGAAAAAGCATTTGATAAAATTCAACATCCTTTCACGTTCAAAACTCTCAATAAAGTAGGCACATAAGGAACATAACTAACAGTAATAAAGACCATATATGGAAAACCCATAGCAAATGTCATACTGAATGGGAAAAAGTTGAAAGCCTTTTCTGTCAGAACTAGAACAAGACAAGAATACCCATTTTCACCACTCCAATTTAACATAGTACTAAAAGTCTTAGGCAGAGCTATCAGGAAAAAGAAAGCATAAAAACGTATTCAAGGTCGGGCGTGGTGGCTCACACCTGTAATCCCAGCACTTTGGGAGGCCAAGGCGGGCAGATCACGAGGTCAGGAGATCGAGACCATCCTGGCTAACATGGTGAAACCCTGTCTCTACTTAAAATACAAAAATTAGCAGGGCATGGTGGCGGGCGCTTGTGGTTCCAGCTACTCGGGAGGCTGAGGCAGGAGAATGGCGTGAACCCGGGAGGCGGAGCTTGCAGTAAGCCAAGATCATGCCCCTGCACTCCAGCCTGGTGACAGAGCAAGACTCCATCTCAAACAAACAAACAAACAAAAAATTATTCAAACTGGAAAAGAAGTCAAATTGTTCCTCTTTGCTGATAATATGTTCTTATGTCTAGTAAAACAGATTTGATAAATAAAGTCAGTAATGTTGCAGGATACAATATCAACATACAAAAATCAGTAGTGTTTCTATACACCATTAATGATCTAGCCAAGAAAGAAATTCAAGAATGCAGTCTCATTTATAATACCTACCTAAAAAAATAAAATATTTAGGAATAAATTTAACCAAAGAGGTAAAAGATCTCTGCAAGGAAAATTACAAAACACTGATGAAAAAAATTGAAGAGAATACAAACAAATGAAAAAAATCCCATACTTCTGAATTAGAAGAATTAGTATTGTTAAAATGACTATACTGACCAAAGCTATTTACAGATCAAATGCAATCCCTATTAAAATACCAATGTCATTTTCCACAGAATTGGAAAATTATAATCCTAAGATTCATATGGAACCAGAAAAGAGCCAAATAGCCAAAGCAATCATAAACAAAAAGAGCGAAGCTGTAGGCATTATATTACCTGACTTCAAATTATATTACAAAGCTATGGTAAACAGCACACCTGGTTCTGGTATAGAAATAGACACACAGATGAATGGAACAGAACAGAGAGACCAGAAATAAAGCCACATATCCACAGCTAACTGATCTTTGACAAGGTTAAGAAGAACATAGACAGGGAAAGGACAACCTTTTCAATGAATAGTGCTGGGAAAATTGGATTGGCACAAGCAGAAAAATGAAACTGGACCTAAATCTCTCACCATGTACAATAATCAACTCAAGTTCTATTAAAGAATTAAATGTATTTATCAAATCTGTTTTACTAGACGTAAGAACACATTATCAGCAAAGAGGAACAATTTGACTTCTTTTCCAGTTTGAATAATTTTTTGTTTGTTTGTTTGAGATGGAGTCTTGCTCTGTCACCAGGCTGGAGTGCAGGGGCATGATCTTGGCTTACTGCAAGCTCTGCCTCCCGGGTTCACACCATTCTCCTGCCTCAGCCTCCCGAGTAGCTGGGACCACAAGCGCCCGCCACCATGCCCAGCTAATTTTTGTATTTTTAGTAGAGATGGGGTTTCACCATGTTAGCCAGGATGGTGAAAATATAAAAATCCTAGAAGAAAATTTAGGAAAAATTCTTCCAGATATTTGTCTAGGCAAATAATTCTTGACTAAGACATCAGAAGTATAAGCAAGAAAAACAAAAATAGACAAATGTGATTTAATTAAACTAAAAAGCATCTGCACAGCAAAAGAAATATTCAACTAAGTGAACAGACAACCTGCAAATGGGAGAAAATATTCACAAACTATAAATCTGACAGGATGTTTTCTTTTTTTTCAGATTGTTCACTGTTGGAGTGTATAAATGCTACTAATTTTGTACATTTTGTGTGTGTGTGTTCTGCATCTTCACTGAACTCATTTATCAGCTCTAACAGTTCTTTGATGGAATCTTTAGGTTAGAATCCTGTTGTCTGAGAACCAGAATAATTTGACTTCTTCCTTTCCAATTTCTTTCTCTTCCCTAATTGTTTTGGCTAGAACTTCCAGTACTATGATGAATAAAAGTGGAGAACGTGAACGTCCTTGCCATCTTCTAGATCTCAGATAAAAAGCTTTCAGTTTTTCCCAATTCGGCATGATGATACCTGTGGGCTTATCATATATGGCCTTTATTGTTTTGAGATATATTCCTTCTAGAGCCAGTTTGTTGGGAGTCTTTATCACAAAGAGATATTAAATTTTATTGAATTATTTTCAGCATCAATTGAAATGACTTTATGGCTTTTATTGCTGGCTCTGTTAATATGATGTAAAAAGTTTATTTTTTGCATATGTTGAATCATTCTTGAATCCCATTTGATCATAATAATTAGACTTTTTAATATGCTGTTGAATTTGGTTTGCTAGTATTTTGTTGAGGACTTTTGCATCTGTTTTTATCAGGAATATTGGCTTGCAGTTTTTTGTTTGCTTTTTGTGTGTTTATGTCTTGTTTTGGTGTCAGGGTACTGCTGGCCTCATAGAATATATTTGGAAGTATTCTCTCTTCTTCAATTTTTTGAAATAGTTTGAGTAGAATTGGTATTAGTATAAACATAAGAATAGAAAAGTTTGGTAAAAGTCCTCAGTGATGCTGTAAGATCCTGGGCTTTTCTTTGATGGAAGACACAATTACTGATAAATCTCATTACTCATTATTATCTGCTCAGGTTTTCTATTTCTTCATAATTGAATCTTGGCAGGTTGCATATGTCCAAAAATTTATCCATTTCATCTAGGTTTCCCAATTCGTTTGTGTATAGCTATTCTTAATTGTCTCATTATTCTTTGTATTTCTGTGGTATCTGTTCTAATGCTTCCTTTTTTGCTCTGATTGTATTTATTTGGGTCTTCTGTCCTTTTTTCTTTAGTCTAACTTAAGATTTGTTAATTTTGTTTGTTTATTTAGAAAACAGACTTTTTGTTTTTTGATTTTTTTTTTTAGTTTCAATTTCATTTACTTTTGATCTGATCTCGTTATTTCTTTCCTTCTACTAATTTGGGGTTTGTTCTGTTTATGCTTTTCTACTTACTAGAGGTGCAACATTAGGTATTTATTTGAAGTCTTTCTACTTTTTTGATGTAGGCATTTAAACTTTCCTTCTGGAACTGTTTTCACTGTATTCCATAAGTTTCGCTATGTTGTATATCTATTTATGTTTGTCTCAAGAAATTTTAAAATTTATTTTAATTTCTTCATTGGCCCATTTGTTATTCAGGAACATGTTGTTTATTATCCATGAATTTGTACAGTTTTTAAAGTTGTTTCTGACATTGATTTCTTGATTTATTTCATTGTGATCAGAAAAGATACTTGCTATAATTTCAGTTTTTAAAAAATGTGTTGACTTTTTTGTGCTGTAATATGTAGTCTATCCTAGAAAATGTTTTATGTGCAGTTGAGAAAAATATGTGTATTCTGCAGCTGTTCAACAGAATGTTCTGTTAATGTCTGTTAAGTTCATTTGGTCTAAAGTTCAGTTTAACTCTAACGTTTTTTGTTGACTTTCTGTCTGGATGATCTTCCCATTGTTGGAAGAGGAGTGTTGAAGTTCCCTATTATTATTGTACTGGATCAATTTCTCCCTTAATTTTATTAATATTTGTTTTATACACTTGGGTGCTCCATTGTTGGGTGCCTGTGTATTTATAATTATAAATTATGCACGTATGTATGTATCCTCTTATATTATGTTTAAGAGGGTATCTCTTGCTTTTGATCCCCTTATTATTGTAGAATGGACTTTTAAAAACCATTATTGTGTTAAACTGCATTTTATCTAAGTATGGCTACTCTTGCTCTATTCTGGTTACCACTTGCATGAATATATTTTTCCTTCTCTTCACTTACAGTTTGTACTTGTCTTTATAGGTAAAGTGAGTTTCTTGTAGACAGAATATTGTTGGGTCTTAGTTTTTATCCATTCAGCCACTTTATGTCTGTTAATTGGAATATTTCATCCATTTATATTCAAGCTTATTATTGATAGATAAGGATTTACTACTGCCATATTGTTTCTTATTTTCTGTTTGTTGTATAGATCCTTTTTTTCCTCTTTTCCTCTCTTACTGTCTTCCTTTGTGGTTAAGTGATTTTCTCTAGTAGTATGTTTTGATCTTGTGTTATTTATTTTTAGTGCACCTATTATAGGTTTTTGCTTTGTGGTTACCATGAGGGTTGCAAATAATCTTAAAACAGATTATTTTAAACTGATTATGACTTAACTAATTGCAAAGAAAAGTAACAAAAACAAACTCTA
Source organism: Homo sapiens (assembly GCF_000001405.40). Lineage (NCBI taxonomy): Eukaryota > Metazoa > Chordata > Mammalia > Primates > Hominidae > Homo > Homo sapiens. Next base: position 87,718,486 of record NC_000003.12, on the reverse strand, counting down.
CACTTTAACACAAATCCTCCCTCCCATATTTTGACTTTTTGAAGGTTATGATGCTACAATTTACACCTTTTAATATTGTTTATCTATTAATCAATTTTTGTAGTTATAATCATTTATAATAGTTTTGTCTTTTAATCTTCTTACTTAAGATATAAGTGGTTTTCTTACCTTAATTATAGTATTAGAGTATTCTGAATTGCCTTTTTTCAATTTTATTTTGCTTTTAGCTAGGGATAGGGTCTCATTCTGTTACCCAGGGTAGAGTACAATGGTGTGATTGTGGCTTACTGCAGCTTCAACCTCCTGGGCTCAAGTGATCCTCTTACGTCAGCCTTCCAAGTAGCTGGGACTACAGGCTTACACCACTATGCCTGGCCAATTTTTGTATTTTTTGTTGCTTTCACCATATTGCTCTGGCTGGTCTTGAACTCCTAAGCTCAAGCAATCCTTTGATCTCAGCCTCCCAAAGTGCTGGAATTATAAGCATGAGCTGCCGTGCCTGCCTGTATTTTTTTCCCCCAGTTAATTTAATATGGTCAGATGTTTTCTTGTTACACAGTAACCTCCATTTCCTTCAGTTTGAAAACCTAGTTTAGCATTTCTGGTAAGATAGATCTGGTGTTGGTGAATTCTTTCAGCGTTTGTTTGTCTGAGAATGACTATCTTTCCTTCATGTTTGAAGGATAGCTTTTTTAGTACACTGTTTTTGGCTGGTAGTTTTTCCTTCAGCACTTTAAATACAGCATCCCACTCTCTCCTGGCCTGCGGAGCTTCTGCTGAGAAATCTGCAGAAAGCTGTACTGGGGCTCTATTGAATGTAATATATTTATCTTTTCTTGCTGTTTTGAGTATTTATTCTTTTTGTCCTTGATTTTTGCTAATTTGATTATGATGTGCCATAGGAATTTCCTGTTCAGGTTGAATTTGATTGGTGTCCTCTGAGCTTTATGTACCTGGATGGTGTCATTTTTCTCCAGATTTGGAAATTCTTCAGCCATTATTTCCTTAAATATGTTTTCTAGGACTTTTCATCTCTTTCAGAAATTTCTATTATCTGTTGGTTAGTTTGTTTGATCATGTCACATCAAGGCCAATTCTCATAGGCCTTCTTCCCCTCTTTTTAATTCTTTTTTTCCCTCTTTTGACTATATAATTTCACATATTCTATCTTCAAACTTGCTAATTCTTTTATCTGTTTGACCAAGTGTGGTGTTAGAGCATTGGAATAAATGTTTTCATTAGTTATTGTATTTTTTATGTCTGGGATTTCTATTTTTTGGTCAAATTTCTCATTTTGTTCCCAGATTATTTTCTAAATTTTATTAATTTTCTGTTTGCATTTTCTTATTTTTTTCTGAACTTATTTAAGATCCTTATTCTGAATTCTATGTCTAACATTTCATAGATCTTCAGTTCTTCGGGGCCAACTGCTGGAGTTTTGTTGGTTTCTTTTGATGATACCATGTTTCCACGAGCTTTCATGATCCTTGCATCTTTACATCGATGCCTGTGCGTTAGAGGAGGCAACCACCTCTTTCATTTTATGCAGTGTTCTTTGCTGGTGTTAGAACTTTACTCCTTACTATTGGAACTTAAACATTGGCCCGTTGTTTCTTTCCATTCTGAAGAATACGCATAGTGAGTAGCAGAACTAAAACACTGCCTTGGAACTAACTTACTGCCTTGTCATTGTTTTCTGGTCTGGAAAAAAACTCACAATGAACACCAAACCTTAAACTCTGCTCTGGAACTAAATCGCTGCCCTGGTATCTTTTCCCAGTCTGGAGGAGACTTGTGGTGAGCACTGGAATATAAATGTCTCCCCAGAATTGTACTGATGCCGTTTCATTGTTTACTAGTCTGGGGAAACCTTAAGCAGGAATTGGAACTTAATCCTGATCTTTTAGTAGTTCCAAGCCAGAAAACGGCTCCCTAGGAGCATCTGGGCTTTGTTGAACGTCTGGCCAGGGATTTGGGCCTTCTTGTGGACTGTGCCTCGTACAGTGGCATAGCACTAGCCAGTCTCTTCCACATGATGCCCTGCTGATAAGAGCACAGAGTAGCTGCCAAGATCGGCATGCTCTTCACTACTATCAGTGTCCTCTCTGTCCCCAGTTTACTCCATGTGGGTTATCCCTCATGGCACTCCCAGTGTTTCCCATGTATGCAACTGGAGTTGGCTTTCTATAAAAATTCCCAAACTGCTGGGGAGATCAAATATCCACCTCCATTTTCCTCCTCTTCCCTTGGAAACTATGGTTCTAGGGAAATTCTCTGTGAGTGGTGTTATGTGGGCATGGCTGATGCTCCAAAGTGACTGTTTCTCTTACCAGTTGTGGGTTCTCTCCATTCTGTTGGCCTGGGGGTGGTTTTCCACTTCTCTCAACTGAGTTCTGGTGAACTCAGAATGGTATTCTTGCCTTGGAATAGTTTTTAGTTGTATTTTTGTTTGAAGAGATGCTAGGGGATTTAACATTCTGCCATTTTGCCAATGTCCTAAAATATCTTATTAATAATGTTTCATTGATTGCATATTGAGATATTTTTGAGATACTGGGTTAATAAAAAATAGAAATAAAAATCAATTTCACCTGTCTCATTTATACTATTTAAAATGTGACTACTAGAAAATTTAGAAATGCATATGTGACTCATATTTGTGGTTCACGTTCTATTACTTAGCACTGGTTTTTTACAATAGGGATTGGCAAACTTTATCTAAAAAGGCACATAGTAAATATGTTAGGCTTTGAAGGCCACATATAGCCTCTGTAATATATTCATTTTTTCACAACCTTTAAAAATATAAAAACCATTTTAGCTTGTGAGCAAAAAACAACAGGCCACATGGCATATATGGTCCATGAGTCATTGTTTTCCAACCCATGGTTTGGAATATCATGTCTTCCACAAGGCAAGAAAATTGGGCTGACAAAACTAAAGAGAAAGTTTCATGTTAATAAAAACCATATCATTCAGACTTTATTATTTTAAAAGTTTCGAATTATAGTAAGTAACAATTATACTTCCTGGTTCACACAATTCGTAACTGGTGGTGAAGGGATTTGAACTTGGGTAGTCTCTCTTCAGATGCCATGCTCTTATCTAAAACCATATATACTTTGTGGTGGCTTTTTCATGTGTCAAACTGGCTGAGCTGAATTATGTTTCCTAGAATTCCCTTTTGTATATTTCCATTTAGGTGACTTACAAGGGATATTCTTGGGAAATTTAGAGGACAGAAAGGAAACAGCAGACATTCTGTAGCTCATACCAATTGTTGCTGATTTGTAGACTCTCCTTGGTGGCCTGAATCAACTGCTGGACTTGCAACTGCTTTGTTATCTCCTGAATCTCTCAGCTTCTCTGACAAGTCATGGTGTATTGTGTTTAGCTCCATGAGGATGGTCCTCAATTTCTGCAGGATACTCAGACCATGCTCTTAGAAGAAACTGCTGGTTTCAAATCTTACTGATGGAATTCCACCTCATGTATGTGGTTTTTAACCTTGTGAATTCCCTTGTTTTATATCCATCTCACTTTCTGGCTATGGGCTCTATGGACTAGCATCAGGTGTGAAGACAGCAGCCTTGCAGAGATTGCTTAACCACATATATGGATTTACTAAAGGGATTTGTCTTATAGAAGTTTTTTAACTATGGTATAAAATATGCAAAAAATGTATAGTTTTAATAATATACAATTATATATTCCAGTATATAATATACATTATATATAACATATCAGTGTATTTTACATATATATATACCCACACCAACACCCACACCCCCACACACACGTATAGTTTGTTTTTCCTTAGTGTATTTACTTTTCTTATTGAATTCTGAATGATACACTTTCTATGAAACAAAAAAGAGCTATATTAATACAAATTAAATTAAAATTGAAGTCACTATTCAATTTGTTCTAAAAGTTTGCAATGATTGAAATAGCTTGCTGTAAGGAGAGAGAGCCATTTACAGTTGAGATCTAATTCAGCGCTGTGAAGTCACAGGATTATTTTGCATTTGTCCATGTTTCAGTTATTAGCAAGCAGCATTTAAAAAGAAAGTTATAATAAGAATATATTTATTAATTAAGTAGTCAAATATATTGAACTCCAAAGATTGTGCATTTTAAGACATTTATGCCTTGATTACTACAGATATTTGAAATCTCTTATATTTTTAAAATTTCTCTTGAAATTTCTCAAAAATAATGTATGTCTAAACTTGTAATATCCATTTTCATGCTTACACTGTGATATTTTATTAACAGCTTTTGTGTATTCTTTCACATTTCCACTGTCATATAAAAATGCACATATGAAGGAGTTTTTTAAGAATATGTGGGCCTATTGTTTGATTTTACAGAAATAGGATCAACATTATATAACATTAATCAGCAACTTCTTTCTCCTATTCAACAATTCATCATCAATATTCCTTTAAATCAAAAGAAACACTTCTTTTCCAAAGTTATTTTGTTATAATTGCATAGTATTGCATAGAATAAATGTAACACAACTAATTTTTTTATTCTGTTCTTAATGGGTTTTTCAGATATTCCTTGGTCTTTTATTTCACAGAAATACTTCCAGAAATCTTTAAAATATAATCTTAAGTATTTATTTCAATTTCTGATATAGAGTTATTTCTAAACATGGTTAAAGGATACTATATATTTTTCACAAAAGTGTATTAGTTTGTAGTTCTGACAGTGAAGTATGAGAAAGCAGTTTTCATCCTGTTATTCCTCAGCATTGAATGTATTGCACTTCCTTTTTTAAAATTAATATCTAAAATATGGTATGTATTTATTGCTTTAATTTGCTTTTCCCTGAAAGTTGAGCATCTTGCTTTGTGTTTATTAGGTTTCTGCTTCTTGAGTGGATGATTCTCTTTCTGGATAAATCACAATATCAGTTTTGGTTTTGCCATTTTATCATGGATTTTTAAGAAGGTGTCCCTCAGTGTCTTTATAATTAATATTTGTTTAATACTTTGCTTATTTTTCAAGCTTTCTTATATCACAATCGAGCAGGAAATATTGCCCGCCAAATATGTATTTTATTGAAATCTTATTAAATTTTCCTTTGTAGATACAGAATAGCAATACATAACATGAAGAACAATACTATTTTTATGGGTATGCTAAATTGAGCTTGTTTATTGTGTCTTCTGTATTTATTCATGGTTTGATGGACCTGTCAAATTCTGAAAGTGGTGTATTAAAACCTCACACTATAATTGTACTTTTATTGCATTGACCTTTTATTTCTAGGGGTGTTTGCTTGATATATATATAACTGCAATACAATTTGATGCTTAAGAGAATATTGCTATACTTTCTATGTAGATTACACAGTTTATTCTTAAATACTTTTTTTCTCTATTTTTGATGCTTTTGACCTTGAAATCCTCTTTCTGGTAATATGTTTTTACTTCTTCTTGTACTCGTTTGAAATTTCTTTATCTGTGTTTATTCTTTTCATTTTCAACTTTTTTTTTTTTACTGCTTAATTTGTTACCTGTAAACAAATATAACTGGGGTTAGTTTTTAGAACCCTATTTAACAGTCTAGGATTTTTATAGCATAACTCAGCATGTTTGGATTGCATCAATATAGATTTAATTGGTTTTATTGAAAGCACTCTTTTTAAGCTTATGTGTTCCTTTGTTTATGTTTATTGTTGTTTTTGCTTTTTTCTCCCTCATTTTACTTTTTCTGGCTTGTTCAAGCTCCAATTTATTCCTTTATTCCATTTTCATTTGAACATGCTACTGTAATTTTCAATTCTGTAAGTAGTTCCTTTTACTTTTCTAATTAAACAATATTTCTCCATTATAATATTAAAAGAAAATAGTAAGTTTATTTCAGTTTTCTCTTCTGTCTCCCCAGATGAGACCTTTAAATTATCTTACTTTCCCACATTCATTGTTTCTTGCCTCCACTCCTCTTCTCTTTCTCTCCCACCTCCACATCTGTTCCAGGTTTTGCTGAGACGATTTAGAACACTAAGTACTAGGCCATTATTAGGTGTCCATTTAGAGTATATGAGTTTCAAGAAATAGTACTATATTGGTGAGAGAAATCCAGATTATACTATAGTCAACGAAGCTTTGTTTATTTATTTCTCAAGTGATATGCTTGGTTCTGTGTCCCCACTCAAATCTCATCTCGATTTGTAATCCCCATAATCCCCATGTGTCAAGGGAGGAACCCAGTGGGAGGTGACTGGATCACGAGGGCAGTTTTCCCCACGCTGTTCTCATGATAGTGGCTGAGTTCTCACAGGATCTGATGGTTTTGTAAGGGGCTCTTCCCCTTTCACTCACACGCTTCTCTCTCTTGCCACCATGTGAAAAAGGTCCAAACTTGCTTCCCCTTCGCCTTCCACCATGATTGCAAGTTTTCTGAGGCCTCTCCAGCCATGCAGAGCTGAGTCAATTAAACCTCTTTCCTTTATAAATTACCCAGTCTCTAGATATTTCTTTACAGCAATGTGAAAGTGGACTAATACACCAGGTGTAGGGTGAGTCTCAGGGTAGTTGCCCTTTATGTGAGATTCTGCATCGTCACATCAATACATGTTTTCATTTTGCAGGAGGAGAAGAACACATTGCAGAACAGAAGATGGCAAATAAATGCTTTTCCATGAAAGAGGCACAGATTGCTTCTACTTACCAAAGCAAGTCACATGGCCATGCCTCACCAAGGAGTTAAGAAAGCAGAGTCCTCCCAAGGAAGCATGTGTCCAGGAAAGAACTGTATATTGTTGACTAGCAACAATGTCTGACACCTTGACTTAAACTTTACGTTACAAATTTCTGATCACATTAGCTATAACCTTTTGAAACTTACCAATAGGCTGGCCACAGTGGCCCACACCTGTAATCCCAGCACTTTGGGAGGCTGAGGAGGGCAGATCATGAGGTGAGGAGATTGAGACCATCCTGGCTAACACTGTGAAATCCCGTCTCTACTAAAAATACAAAAAAATTTCCGGGTGTGGTGGCGTGCGCTTGTAGTTCCAGCTACTTGGGAGGCTGAAGCAGAAGAATCACTTGAACCTGGGAGGCAGAGGTTGCAGTGACCCGAGGCCGCACCACTGCACTCCAGCCTGGGTGACAGAGTGAGACTCCTTCTCAAAAAAAAAAAAAAAAAAAAAACGGAAAAAAAAAAGAAACAACAATATACACCAATATTCTTTTTTTATTATGTTTATTTCATTTATTTTTCCCAGTAAAACAAATTATTTAATTTTTATTTGGTAACAGCACTTCACCTATAATTTTCTTCAGAATAAGCATATGAGCCACATAATTTCTGAATCTTCACATGTCTTTGGGATGATTAATATTTTGATTGGGCATAGGCTCTTTGGAATGCAATCTTCTTTCTTTCAGTAGTCTATAGATATTATTTCAGGTTTTTTAGCTTTCAGTGTGGCAGATATTGAGCCATCCTATGACAGATTCTTTTAGTTTTTAAAATAATCCATTCTTTCTATTAACCTGTTTTTCTCTTTATCATTAGTATGTAAATTTTACCCAAATATGTCGAGTTTACTTCTTTCCTTATCAATCTGTTTTAGTGTTTTCTATTGCTTATAACAGAATACCTGGCACTGAATAATTTATACTGAAAAGAATTAATTTTTTACAGTGATGGAGGCTGAGAAGTTCAAGGTATAGGAGCTGCATCAGGTGGGAGCCTACTTGCTGCTGGGGACTCTGTAGAGTCCTGAAGGGGTGCAGGGTTTCACTTGGCAAGGAGGCTGAAAGTGCTTATTCCGGTGTCTCTTCCTCTTTTTATAAAGCTATCAGTTCCACTCTCATAGTAAACCAATACTTTGTTAACCCAATGGATTAATCCTTTAAGATCTGATCACATTTTAAAGGCCTTATTTCTCAATACTGTCAAATTGGGGATTAAGTTTCAACATGAGTTTTGGAGGGAAATTCAAACCATAGCACAATCCTTAGTAAGATTTGGCAACATTCTTTTTTCCTGAAGGCAACACAGATTTTTTCTTTTCAAGTCAAGAAAAAATATCTTATGTTTTGAATTTTGTTTCTTTTTTTTCATATGTTATTATCAGTACTGTAAGGCTTTTGGAACTGTACTCTAATGCTTTTTTAAAATTTCATTTTCTGTCTTTGTGCACTGACAGTGTGTGTGTGTGAGTGATGATGTTTCCCTCTGGTTGTGATATTTCTTACACTAAGTCTTACCACAAATCTGGTTATTAGTGGTGAACACATGCCAATTTGTTTATGTAATTTTTAATTTAAAAAGTCAAATGTTTCAGTTGCTAAGCTAGTCTCTCTGGAGATCCCCTTGGGAGTCTTGTTATGTTTTCTTCTGAATTCTTAGTTCCCACATGAGAACCACTTGTTTCAAATTGGGGTTGGTGGGGAGCAGGGGTAAATTTTGTTCCTCATTTGCTAAAATTCCCTTAAGTGACTTTTTTTTTTAAATTTGATCATGAATGTTGCGACCTGCTAGTTGTGTGGTAGAAAACCAACATGGTGGTTAACGAGTAGTAGATGGCAGGATAAATATGACTTTTGTGGGCTGTAGTAAGTAAATTGAAAGGGTCTTTGATCCATTTTTCCACTCAGCACATTCTTATTTATTTATTTATTATACTTTAAGTTTTAGGGTACATGTGCACAACGTGCAGGTTTGTTACATATGTATACATGTGCCATGTACGTTTGCTGCACCCATTAGCTTGTCAATTACATTAGGTATTTCTCCTAATGCTATCCCTCCCCCATACCCCCACCCCATGACAGGCCCTGCTGTGTGATGTTCCCCTTCCTGTGTCCAAGTGTTCTCATTGTTCAATTCCCACCTATGAGTGAGAACATGCAGTGTTTGGTTTTTTGTCTTTGCGATAGTTTGCTCAGAATGATGGTTTCCAGCTTCATCCATGTCCCTGTAAAGGACATGAACTTATCCTTTTTTACGGCTGCATAGTATTCCATGGTGTATATGTGCCACATTTTCTTAATCCAGTCTATCATTGATGGACATTTGGGTTGGTTCCAAGTCTTTGCTATTGTGAATAGTGCCACAATAAACATATGTGTGCATGTGTCTTTATAGTAGAATGATTTATAATCCTTTGGGTATATACCCAGTAATGGGATGGCAGGGTCAAATGGTATTTCTAGTTCTAGATCCTTGAGGAATGACCACACTGTCTTCCACAATGGTTGAACTAGTTTACAGTCCCACCAACAGTGTAAAAGCATTCCTATTTCTCCACATCCTCTCCAGCATCTGTTGTTTCCTGACTTTTTAATGATCGCCATTCTAACTGTTGTGAGATGGTATCTCATTGTGGTTTTGATTTGCGTTTCTCGGATGACCAGTGATGATGAGCATTTTTTCATGTGTCTTTTGGCTGCATAAATGTCTTCTTTTGAGAAATGTCTGTTCATATCCTTTGCCCATTTTTTGATGGGGTTGTTTGTTTTTTTCTTGTAAATTTGTTTGAGTTCATTGTAGATTCTGGATATTAGCCCTTTGTCAGATGCGTAGATTGCAAAAATTTTCTCCCATTCTGTAGGTTGCCTGTTCAGTCTGATGGTAGTTTCTTTTGCTGTGCAGAAGCTCTTGAGTTTGATTAGATCCCATTTGTCAATTTTGGCTTTTGTTGCCATTGCTTTTGGTGTTTTAGACATGAAGTCCTTGCCCATGCCTATGTCCTGAATGATATTGCCTAGGTTTTCTTCTAGGGTTTTTATGTTTTTAGGTCTAACATTTAAGTCTTTAGTCCATCTTGAATTAATTTTTGCATAAGATGTAAAGAAGGGATCCAGTTTCAGCTTTCTACATATGGCTAGCCAGTTTTCCCAGCACCATTTATTAAATAGGGAATCCTTTCCCCATTGCTTGTTTTTCTCAGGTTTGTCAAAGATCAGATGGTTGTAGATGTGTGGTGTTATTTCTGAGGCCTCTGTTCTGTTCCATTGGTCTATATCTCTATTTTGGTACAAGTACCATGCTGTTTTTGTTACTGTAGCCTTGTAATATAGTTTGAAGTCAGGTAGCGTGATGCCTCCAGCTTTGTTCTTTTTGCTTAGGATTATCTTGGCAATGTGGGCCCTTTTTTGGTACCATGTGGACTTTAGTGTTTTTTTTTTTTTCCCAATTCTGTGAAGAAAGTCATTGGTAACTTGATGGGAATGACATTGAATCTGTAAATTACCTTGGGCAGTATGGCCATTTTCACAATATTGATTCTTCCTATCCATGAGCATGCAGTGTTCTTCCATTTGTTTGTGTCCTCTTTTATTGAGTTGAGCAGTGTGGTTTGTAGTTCTCCTTGAAGAGATCCTTCACATCCCTTGTAAGTTGGATTCCTAGATATTTTATTCTTTTTGTAGCAATTGTGAATAGGAGTTCACTCATGATTTGGCTCTCTGTTGCTCTGTTATTGGCGTATAAGAATGCTTGTGATTTTTGCACATTGATTTTGTATCCTGAGACTTTGCTGAAGTTGCTTATCAGCTTAAGGAGATTTTGGGCTGAGACGATGGGGTTTTCTAAATATACTCAATACATTCTTTAAAGTGATGATAACATTTTAGGTTGGAAGTTATTATTCTTCAGAGTTTGGAAGGTACTTTGCTCTTGTATTTCAGCTCCCCATATGTTAGTGACTGAATTATGTCCCCCTCAGTTTCATATGTTGAAGCCCTAACTCCCAATGTAACCATATTTGGAGATGGGGCTTTTAATGAGGTATAAGGTTAAATGAGATAAGCATAGGGCTTTAATTTAATATGACTGACCATGTGAGAATGCAGTGAGAAGGCAGCCACCTGCAAGTCATGGAGATTAGCCTTGGGAGAAAGTAAACCTACCAACACTTATATCTTGGACACCTAACTGCCAGGCTGTAAGAAAAGAAATTTCTCTTGTTTAAGCTACTGTATTTGTCCATTTACATAGCTATAAAGGAATATCTCAGGCTGGGTAAGTTATAAAGAAAAGAGGTTTATTTGGCTCATGGTTCTGCAGGCTGTACGAGTATGACATCAGCATCTGCTTGACTTCTGGTCAAGCCCAGGAAGCTTTTGGTCATGGTGGAAGGGAAGGGGAGCTGGCATATCACAAGGTGAGACAGGGAGCAACAGAGATGCCAGGCTCTTCTAAACAGCCATCTCCTGCGTGAATTCATTACTGTGGGGAGGGCACCAAGCCGTTCATGAAGGACTGACCCTGTGACTTGAACACTCCCCACTCTGACATCAGGGATCACATTTCAACATGAGATATGGAGGAGACAAACATCCAAACCATCTCAGCTACCTAATCTGTGGAATTTTGTCATGGGAGCCCTGGCAGCCATGTTACTGTGGAGAATATGAAGTCACTCTGGTCTCTTTTATTTTGCACTGATTGTAGTATGTCTCTGACACAGGTGTTCAGAGAGTTGTGACGTACCTTGGCTTGGAACTATCTTTATGCATTTTGCGGGGATCAGTCAGGAGGCTCATGTCCTTTAATACTAGATGTTCTCGAATTTTTCTCAAAAATTATCTTGTAATATTTCTTTTATCCCTTGTCCTCCTTAGTTTTTTATCTTTTTCAAGAGCCCCTATTTAGAGGTTGTGCCTCAAAAACTACTCTTCTGGATTTAATATATTTTCTCAACTATTTTCTCTTCGCTTTAATATATTTCTTTAATATTTAAACTTTGTCTTCTAATCCATCTATTTTTTCCTTCAATTTGTCTTATTTTTAATTTTCAGGAACTCATATTTGTTCTCGATAGAGATTTCTAAAGACTTCATGACTGCTGTATTAAAGCAATGACTAATCTCTCAAATTATATTAAAGATATTTTGAAACTTTCTTCTCATAGTCTGTTTTTCTATTATTTTTGTTCTTTGTTTATTTTGATTTCTATTTTCTATGTAGAGATTTTCTTCAGATACTTGGTATTTCTAATTAAGGTGAGAGTGGGAGATGTGGGAAGATGGTTAAAGTGTCACTCTAAGGCACTGATTCTTAACGAAGTGTAATTTTGCCTCTCACAGGATATTTGGCAATGCCTGAAGACATTTTTCATCATCATGAATCAGAGAGGGGAAGTGCTACTGGTATCTAAAGGGAAGAGGCCAAGGGTGTTATTAAACATCCTGCAATGCCCAGGACAGCCCCATACAACAAAGAATTATCCAGTCTAAAATGTTAATAATGCCACTGTTAAGAAACGTTGTTCTAGGATAATCTAGGTGATAACTTTATTGGAAACTTAGGTCTGTATGTGTAGGTGTTTCTCTTGGGCTTGACAGATTCCCCAGAGAATTTTTTTCTGTATTTTACATGGAGACTAACAGTTGGGCTATCAGCTTTCTGAAAGTTTTTTTAGAAGGTGTGTTAGTCAGCTCTCGTATTGATATATAGAAATACCTGAAACTGGGTAATTTATAAAGAAACGAGGTTTAAATGTCTCAGTTCTACAGGCTGTACGGGAAAGCACAGCATCAGCATCTGCTCCTGGGGAGGCCTCTGGAAGCTTACAATCGTGGAAGGCCAAGTGGGAGCTTGCATATCCCACAGTAAAAGCAGGAGTGAGAGTGAGGTGGGGAGGTGCTACACACTTTTAAACAACCAGATCTTGTGAGAACTCACTATCATGAGAACAGCATCAAGGGGATAGTGCTAAACCATTCATGAAAAATTCACCCCCCATGATCTAATCACCTCCCACCAGGCTGCACCCCCAACACTGGGGATTATAACTGGACATGAGATTTGGGCAGGGACACAAATCCAAACTATAAAAGAAGGGGTCTTTGGTCTTTGGCATTTGGCATTCTGGATGCATATGTTCACTAATCCCTCTGTTTTAGGTTAGAGCCCGTCTACCATAATCCACTGCAAAGACTTTTCATTACATCCTTTCTAATGAATACATCTTCAGAAAAAGTAATGATGATGAGGCAATGGGGAGGGAGACTTTTCTCAAGAAATATAAAATGGCAAGTTTAATGCTTCTCAAACAACGTTAACCTAATCCTCCTTATATTTATGCTTCCCTGACTTCCCAGTTAGAGAGGTATCTGATGTATAAGTCCATAAAACTTAAGCATTCTTTGATATAAACTAAATTATTTCTCAGCTTTCTTCACTAGCTGAACTAAGGTTTGGTTTTCTTGGATATTCTCTATCAATCACCTTTTCTGCCACTTGTCTTCTGCTGTATCATTTGCTGTTCCTCCGTGCTTCTCAGGTTATGCTTTAAAAAAATTCTTTACTGTAGATTTATTGGATTTTCAGGAGAAAGTGACATTATATGTGCCATTTAGTGCAGAAATCAAAGTTCAATTTAAATGCCAGAGTTTTGTCAGAGGAAATCTATAGGGCATTTTTTCCCTCCGATTTGCTGTGAAAAATGCTGCACATTTCACAGAGTTGACTTTATCTCTGTTTATGTACATCAAGAGCGTTCTCGGCCGGGCGCGGTGGCTCATGCCTGTAATCCCAGCACTTTGGGAGGCCAAGACGGGCAGATCACAAGGTCAGGAGATCGAGACCATCCTGGCTAACACGGTGAAACCCCGTCTCTACTAAAAATACAAAAAAATTAGCCGGGCGTGGTGGCGGGCACCTGCAGTCCCAGCTACTTGGGAGGCTGAGGCAGGAGAATGGCGTGAACCCGGGAGGCGGAGCTTGTAGTGAGCCAAGATCGCGCCACTGCACTCCAGCCTGGGTGACAGAGCGAGACTTCTCTTTTCATTTGATCTAAGTGCTCTGTGATCCCTGGCCACTGCTCCTGCGTTCTGCCCATGCTGTGGAGTTGGGCAGGAGTGTTTTCTACCCCCTTACAGGAAGAGTATCTTCCTGACTCAGATTTGCTGGACAAAGGAACTTCTTTGAGCTAATGGATGGCTGATACCACACTTCTTCCCTAAGTGTTTTATGTATCTTTCCTGGCCATGGTGCTCTGGATACACCTAATCAATAATTTCATACTCAATGTAAAACGAGTTGTAAAAACTTGAGACAGATGAATCTAAATGTTTAGAACTTTTGACTTCGGTTTTAGGAAAATTGTGAGATAAATGTCTCATCAATATCTCTCAAATTATGGAATATGAATGACAGCCAACTCTCTCTTTTTATGTGTTTTGCATGCATGTGTGTGTCTGTGTCTGTGCAGGTGTATACATTTCTACCTAAGTGGGAAGGTTTCCCCTTTCTCCTTATAAGAACTTTTGGATAGCAATAGAACTTTCTGTTCTTTTTAAAAAAATTCTGCTTATGTTACTCTCATGTTATGTGAGACTAATATGTTTCCCTCCATCTTTCTCTCTTTCTCTGTCTCTCTCTCACATGCACACACACACACCATATATAATGTCAAATATATTTACACAAATCTGCCTGTGGGTTTGGAAAATTGTAAAGAAAATTATGTAAAATTATTAAGATATATTTCAGTAGTTAATAATTGGTAATATTATAGTTTCTAACATTTAGATTTGTCTTCTGACTCCCTCCTTTCCCCACTGGATCCTATACAATGTAGAGGAGTTATAAATAAAGTTCTCTAAAATTTTGATGCATAAGCATCAAGGTTTTTAAATCCTCTTAGCAGAGTGGAAAAGACAGGTCACAGAGGAATTCTCCCAGGATTCACCACCACATCTTCCTGCACAAAAACAGTCTTTGGTGGTATCTGGTGAGCAGCAGCTATCCTCGCAGAATTGTGGCAGACCTGGGTGGGTAATGGAAGCACCTCACAGGAACTGACTGGATAGTGTACCAATTGTCAGAGGTTTTCTGGTCACTCACAGGATAATTAAGCAGGGAGAAGGAATATGGGGCAAGCATTTTCAAATTACTGAAATTCTTATATGGCTAGATGTGGGTGAGAACCAGCGAAATTTGAATTACTGTTAGAAATGTGATTTCATTTATATGAATAGGTTGAGGAAATCCCAGTTATGCTAAAAGAACTTATGGTTATTAGATATGAATAACTTTTTCCTTGGGTGATGGTAATTTTCGATCGAGAAGCATTTACATGAGAAGGGATCATTTTAGGAGGCCAATGCCCTATCCATTAGGCCACTGGGTCTTCCAGAAGGTATCATTCTATAGGGTTTTAAATAAACTTTTTTTTCTTTTGAGGGGGAAGTATTTTGTTTTCTTTAAATTTCATCATCACTTATGAATATTTGTTAGAAGATTCTTTCTAGAATTTTAGTATTAACAAAATACTGGGGTATGTAATCTAATTGAAAGCTGTTTCTCCAACTCATTCCCTTTAAACGTTCAAAATATGATGTTGAAAGATAATATTTAGAGTAACATTAAAAAATGTTCCAACTGCCTAAGAGAAAATCAAATAAAATATTAGCAAAAATTGTATACAGAAACTATTATCAAGAGAAACTAAAGAGATCTCAATGCTTACATTAGAAAATAAGAAAGGTCTAAAGTCAGAAGTTTTAAACCAACACCTTAGAAAGATAGAAAAGGAAGGGCCGAATAAACTTAAAGTAAGAACCCTCCAAGACTTCCCTGAGCAGCTGCTCTGTGCTGCTATGGTATTTGAACATTGTGCGCATATTTGGATTTAAAAATTCTCTTCACGTAGTAGCCACCATTCCTTTTTCACCTGCGTCAACTGCCATGGTGTCCTTGAAATATTTCTCTCTGGAATGCAACTCTAAAACAGTATTGTGACATTTGCTGTGTGTGTGTAGTAAGACAGCTGTTTATGCTAGATATATATTTGCTCACAATATTCTTTAAAAGGTAAATATTTTCATTTTTATAAGTTATAATGTAATTCAGAAATAAGTAATTTTTCATGATTTACCTACCTGGAACCCCCATCACTAGAAATTATGAACTCTACATCTGACTAATAATTTGAAAAATTTTGTAGAGATTGTCTAATGCTATACGTAATCAGACAATATGAATATCTTGTGCATTAATTTAAAATATGATTTTTAATAACCAGACAAATTATTTGCTCAAAAACTCAGTTCTTCAGTCTAATAAACACATCTTTCCCCAGCAAACTTTTCAGACTCCAAACTTTTCAGGGACTCCAATTTTTCACTTAAAAATTGCAAAAAATAATACTCTGTAATGTTCCATATGTACAAAAAGAGTGAGACTTTATCTCTGTTTATGTACATCAAGAGTGTTCTCTTTTCATTTTATCTAAGTGCTCTGTGATCCCTGGCCTCTGTCCTATGGTAGGACAGAGGTGATTAAGCAATTGTTTTCTGTTTTTGCAGAACTGAGTATTTTCTTCATTTACTTATGCAAATTTTAAGTTTACTTACTCTTCATGCTTTGCACCTAGCTTTTTCAAAGACGTATATATATTACCTTTAGAATGAGAAAAGTCATTTTAAAAAGAACAAAATGATTGAAAATTTCATCATTATTAGTTAAGTTCATAATGTATAATTTCTTTGAGTAGATAAGATTCTGGAACTTTCATTTGACTTTAGGAATACTTTATCAATGATAAAGAGAATACTATTTGAAAGGTATTGGTTCATTACTCAAACCTGAAAAACACAACACAAAAGGAAACAGGAAAATATTACTATATTACTATAGCATTGCAGTAATTTTACTTGGTACATATTTCATATTCTTACTAGTTCATTTAGATGACTAACCATGCCATACTGTTATATTATTAGCATCAACATCTGTGGCCATTGTAAGCCCACAAGACAAATTCAGCATCCGGATATGTCTAGGTCCCACAATATGCCAATAGTGAGGATTGCAAATTGTCATAATAGTCATGACTCCAATATGTGAAGAAAGTTTCATAATTGAAACAACAACAAAAATATGTTCTTTGAGAGCAAAAATTTGGTTGAGCAGATGTTTTTCAAAGATAATTATATTGGAAAGGCAATTACATAATTTTTGTTATAGATAGGTATACCAATTGAAAACAAGTATTAAAGAATCTGATTTTGTGTGGGTATAAAGCCACAAAAGCGTGCTATGTATATTGTAAATCTCACAGTTGGTGAGTACATGATTAACAAGTCTTAACTTTAAAAACTATGAAATACTTACGTAGAAGACATTGTTTTCAACCTTCTACATAGCCAAATGATAGATCCTAAATATACTATTTGTGTTTTTATTATAACTTATTTGCAGAATAGTAAGGTCAAATTGATATCTATTAAACTTTCTGACAAATGTACGTTAATCCAGGTTTATGTAGCAAACACCTGAGTATACACAAAGAGTCATGTTTTTACTCTGTTTCCAGCTCAGGCCTTCATTTTCTGAGGACCTTATTGTTTTAAACTTACCAACACATTCTGGACAAAGACTGTAGGACCAGCTCTGATAAACCCAAACCCTCTCTTATGAAAATCAATCCTCCCATTTCCAAAAACAATATGAGAAAGTGGTTCTTGCCTCAAAGCAAGATGGAGGAAGTCCCAGATAATTTGGATTATCTGTATTTGGTAAATTTAAGTGTTTTAGGATCATGTAGTTCTGCCATAAGTGAACGTCACAGAATAACCAAATGAAAAGTATCTGCATCTGACCATGAAACTTCATAGAATTACTTACTTATCTCAATTATTTACACCCAATGAAGCTTTTCTGTCAGTTTTTGGCACCTTGTCTTTGACCCAATCTTAGTCTGTCTCTCATTAGATCATTAGAATGCTCACTTGGTTTCTATCACTATCTGACACTTCCAAACTATAATTCCCAGCTGTCTAGTTGTCTACCTCAGTCACGACACCAATTTAAATTTTACTTTGCTGCTCTCTCTGGGGGTCTCCCCTAAGATAATTCATTAGCGAATGCATTTTGGTACTTGTTTATGTTTTTTTCCAGTTAGTTTGATGTGGCTGGCAAAGATATTGTCTGTGGTGGCAATGTAGATGATTTGGAAAGCTGTTACAGCATTTATTTTGAACAGCAAAGCAATACTTCATTGGCAGAGGATTCTAATAAAACTCTCAATGTGCGTTATGTGAGATCCTGGAAACCTATTTCTGATTTCCACATATTAGGCTAATATTTTTATTTTCATTTAGTTTGATTTTTTCTTTTGTTATGGAACATTACAGAGTATTATTTTTTGCAATTTTTAAGTGAAAAATTGGAGTCCCTGCACAAATTTTCCTTAAACAGAACCAGGTAATATGTAGAGATAAGTGATGCTTGTCTCCATGTTAATGCAATAAGAGCAGTTGTGTTCAACCCTTCAATTGTCAGTTCTTAGCTAATGGAGATGACTGCAATTTAGAGAAAATTAAATTATTTTCTAATAAAAAGAATAGATTTGAAGAAATTTCATTTTAAGTATTTATCTACAGTGGGCTAAATGTGGAGTAAAGGCTTTTAGAATCATTGTCTTTCAAAATTGGAAGATAACTCAGTAATAAAACAGTCTAAGCCCTACTTTTTTGATGTACAAATTCTGTCTTCCATAAACTCTAATTTTGTCCTGAGTCCCTCCAGTGGAGGGAGACTTGTAAAATATAAACTTTCCATAGAATATTATTCATGTATACAGGCATCTTCTTCCAATACATGTCTCATCTACACTGAAAGTTTGTTGTTTAGTGTGCCACCTTCATCAATAATCTTAACTAGATCTTCTAAATAACTTGCTGTAGCTTCTCCATCATAACTTGCTGCTTCATCTTGCACTTTTATTTTATGGATAGAGCTTCTTTTCTTAAACCTCATGAACCAACCTCTGCTGGCTTCAAATTTTTCTTCTGCAGCTTTCTTACCTCTCAGCCTTCATAGAATTGAAGAGTTGGGGCCTTGCTTTGGATTAGGCTTTGGCTTAAGGGTGTGTTGTGGCTGGTTGGATCTTCTATCCAGACCACTAAAACTTTCTCCATATAAGCAATATGATGATTTTGCTTTCTTATCACTCGTGTATTCACTGGAGCAGCACTTTTCATTTCCTTAAACTTTTCCTTTGCATTCACAACTTGGCCAAGAGTTTGGTGCAAGAGGCTTAGCTGTCAGCCTATCTCTGCCTTTGACACACCTTCCTCACTAAGCTTCATCCTTTCTAGCTTTTTTTGTGGGGGATGGAGTCTCACTCTGTCATCCAGGCTGGAGTGCAGTGGCACGATCTCTGCTTATGGCAACCTCCGCCTCCTGGGTTCAAGAAATTATCCTGCCTCAGCCTCCCTAGTAGCTGGGATTACAGGTGCATGCCACCACACCTGGAAAGCTAGAGACAGGAAACTCTTCTTTTCATTCCAAAAATTAGAGACCATTGTAGGATTTTCACTGGTCTAATTTTAATATTGTTGCATTTCGGGGAAGAGGGTGACTCTATGAGAGGGAGAGAGATGGGGGCATGACTGGTCAGTGGAGCAGTCAGAACACACACAGTATTTATTTGTTAAGTTTGGCATCTTATATGTGTGCATTTTTGGCACCCCAAAACAATTACAATAGTAACATTGAAGATCACTGGTCACAGATCACCATAACAGATATAATAATAATAAAAATTTGAAATATTACTGGAATGACCAAAATGTGACATGGAGACACAAAATGAGCACATGCTGTTGGAAAAATGATACCCATTGACTTGCCTGATGCAGGGTTGCCACAAACCTCCAATTTGTGAAAAATGCAATATATGCAGAAAGCAATAAAGTGAAATGCAATAAAACAAGGTATGCCTATCCTCACTGCCAAAGCAGTGGTTCTCAAACTTCACCTGGCTTAGAAGCAGCTGAACAGCTTGTTAAAATACACTGAGCCCCGGTGTCTCTGATTCAGTATTTCTCAGGTGGGGATGATAATTTGAATTTCTTACAATTGTCCAGGTGATGTTGATCCTGCTGAACCTGGACCACACTTTGAGAATCATTTCTCAAGATGTAACTTTCATATCTATTCTCTCACCTAACTTTATTTCAGTATTTTGCTTCTAGGGTCCCTAGCTGGCTAAATCTAGCACCTACATCAGGCAGTTCTATGACGTATCTCTTGTACTCTGAATAACCACTTTTTGTTTTTGCTTTTAAATTTTATCCACACTATTATGCCACTCTCTAGATCTCGGTTATTCATATCTCCAACTTGAGTATGCTTTACTGGAATTGCTGAATTATGTGGCAAAGTCATAAAGTAGTATTCATTCAACAACTATTGTTTGGGCTCATAGCCCCTACCAGACATTGTTCTAGACAATGGGGATATGCAGTAAGAAAGATAGGCAAGGTATCTACTCTTCTGGATTTTATAAATTAAGGATGGTAGGGAGGTAGGAAATGAGCGTGTAAATAAACAAGATAATTTTAAATACAGGGTGTGATAAAACAGGATGATGTGAATTGGGGAGACAAGGTGGTGGGTATTTTACAAGGAAATATGGAATGGCCCTATTAGAAGGTAATATTTTAATGTAATGTCTGATTTATAGGAATAAAACTCCTCATTTGGAATACAAAAATAATGTGAATGAATCCTAGTAGAACTCTTCTATTGAAAACATCTCTATTCTAAACTCTCCAAATTCCTCCATCTTTTAATCTTGACACTTTCCTACATACCCTTTCCAAAAGTCCTTCTGTTCTGTTATACTTTATTGGGAAGAAGCTCTTTCAGATAAACACTCTTATAGGAAGTTTTTGTGTACCTTTTTGCTCTATATCTTCACTTAACTCTTCTGCTTTTCCATCTATTACAGTGGGGGAATAAGCAACATTTTTTCCCATAGCTCAGCTGGCCACTTGTGGCACTGATTTTCTTTCCTTCCTTTTAAAAATATTGTATACCATCAAGTTTCCCTCTTTCATTTTTCCTTTTCATTTTCTCTCCTTCAAACTTAATCTTCTTTTCTATCTCCTTTTTAATCTTTCTATCTCTATTGATCTATCCATATGTATATATATGCCCATCTCCACATTTATCCATCTACCTACATATCCATTCATCCATCTCTTCATCCTGCTTTACTGCTATTTTATCATTTTTCCCCTTTCCTAAAACATTTTCAAAATGGAGGAATGGAAATAATAAATTTGGAGAAATAATAAAACATCACTGCTTAAAATCCTACCTCTATCACAAACTAGCTACAGGAATTTAGCTATGATAATTTGCAGATAAAACTTCCTAAAATCCAGAACTGATTATAACTCTGCTCTGTTAAAATATTTAACTAGCATCTCATTATTTATAATAAATGCCCAGTGTACTTAATTTCACCCTGTACTATTTCCAACCTTAGTTTCTATTTTCCAATTATCGAACATTGCTAGATCAAGCAGCTGTCAATCTTAATTTTTTGTGTTTCTGTATCTTAAATTATATTCAGTGATTCTTAATCCAAAGAATGCCTTGCCCATAAAATTCTAAAAGTCCAGATTGTATCCACAGTTTGTTAAAAGCACAACATTGACTCCTCCCCAAATTTCAATTCATTTTTTTCATTTTTCTTCCATTATTATTTGAAATTTCACTTGAATCTTGTAGCTAGAAATAATGTATCTGCATTTTGAATACCTGTAGTATTAATTTTGTACCTTTTTTGATGATCATTTTCTAACTCACACATATTTACGTAGTTATAAAGAACATGGCTGTGCTTTGGTCAAGGATAGGCCAAGGTAGATGTTTACATCCTGTGTGACTCAGCAAGTTTAGAGTGCAGGTGTATGACTCCATTTGTTATCATAGCCATCTAGACATAACATAGAGAAGCTCACCACCATAGCCATAACATAGGGAAGGCCATCACTTGACTCTAAGCCACTATTGTCTATGAAAGCTCTAATTGCCCTGTTGACACTGTGTAGGCTGCTGGCACCCAGAGAAAGAGAGAGAAAGCCAGAGATGTCCATCTTTGCAGACAGACAATGGAGAGCCAGGACAAGCTCGGCTTGCTCGTGCTCAGAGAGAAAAAGAGTTAAGCTGCTGGCCCTGAAGGCAAGGGAGAGCCAACTGCACAGCTGTGTGTGGAGGCCACCAGACTAAGCAGCCGAGACAGGGCAGACAGTGTGAGAGAAAGCTGTTGATGAGAGCTGCTGCTGAATAAAATCATCTTTCACCTGCCTGTGTCCCTCGAGTGTTCATTCTGCTCATTCACTCACTCCCTCTGGACCTCAGCTTGACCTTTGGTGTGGCCGTGAACTTGACAGTAGTCATTGTAGTTGCCCAATAGTATGTAAGTTTCTAGGGAAAAAAATACTATCAAATTCATTATAGTTTCCAAAATAGTATAATGGCTAGTATATTCAGAGTCAGTGGCTTTCAAGAGTACTGCCTGGAGTAGTATCATTAGCACAGTCTGCATACTTGTTAGAAATTCACAGAATCAGAAGCTCTGGGGTGGGGGGCCTAACAATTTGTGGTTGAACAAGCCCTCCTGGTACTTCTGATGCCAGCTAGAATTTGCGAACAACTCTGTAAACATTCAGCAAATTCTCATTAAATGGTTGAGTGAATAAACAAATGATAAATTTAATTGATTTTTAAATAAAACATGACAGTTACTGTAATTATTTTTGCTAAGAAAACAATATGGTTGTGATTTGGACACTAAATTATGAAATATCTTTGAATTCGGGTAGGACAAATCTGATATCCTTTACTTCCTAGCAATGCTTTCCAGAATGCTGCTTTTCTCAAGCCCTCCTTCTTAGTTTGCATATTACTGAAAGTGTGAATGGTATGTTTGTATATGTTTGCAAGTAGGTCACTGATTTTAATTCACTGGCAGGATACAGAAGCTCCATAAGGGTCATTTAAATTGCTTTCAATGAAATAGTGTTGTGCAGTACTTTTTTTTTTTTTTTTTTTTTTTGAGACAGGGTCTCACTCTGTCACCTAGACTGGAGTGCAGTCTGGTGACACCACAACCTCTGCCTCCCAGGCTCAAGCAATTCTCCTGCCTCAGCCTCCTGAGTAGCTGGGATTACAGGTACACGCCACTACCACCTGCCTAATTTTTGTATTTTTAGTAGAGACATGGTTTCACCACATTGGCCAGGCTGGTCTTGAACTCCTGACGTCAAATGATCCAGCCACCTTGGCCTCCCAAAGTGCTGGGATTACAGGCATGAGCCACCGCTCCAGCCTGCAGTACTTCTTTAGTGGCATGAGCATATGGCTTATGTGAGGATCTTGTTAAAGTGCAGATTTTGTTCATTTTACCTCGGGTAATACCTGAGTTTCTGCATTTCTAAAAGGTCTCAAGTGATGCCATTGCTGCTGTTCTGAGGGAGCATCTTATGAGGAGAGGGTTACAGCATAATGTGGTTTCAAATCAACCAGGCCAATTCAAATCACTGTGTAGCTGGAAAGGTGGGCAGACTATCTCTTGTGAGCTTCGGTTTATCTGTGAATCATAAATAATATATAAAAATCTGGTAAGATGCCTGACATATAATAAGTACTTAATTAAAGATAGCTATTATAATTCAAATAAAAATTAATGTCAAATATTAAAAGGAGTGTCAAAAAAATTATGGCTTTCTGTAAAGCAGCGGTGTCTACAGTCTGGAATGCAACTGGTTAACCCTATTCCTGATGTACTCGCTTGGAATGTGAGGACAATAAAATTGAGTTCTGCTGTCAACAGTTTTATAGCTTCTGTAATTTCAGCTTGAGTGTCTGCCATTGACCTGCAGCAGCTGAAATCACAGGTGCAACTTCTTGAAAATTGAACCCTTCTTCTGGCACTATCCTGATTATCAGTTATTCTTGACAGAAACAAGCTGCAAACCATTGAAATAACACATTTTGATTTCTTTATTGAATACTTAAGGGTATTTTTTCATACTGGTCTCTATCTTGTCAGCATGAATGTTAGTAACTGATATTTAAATAAGAAATTTATTGTTAAGTGATTTCTCATTAACATCACATATTAGCTGAAAGTTTTGTGCATCTATTATGTACTATTAGCATTATGCAAATAACTGGCATTTGGAAAACTAGTTATTTAAATTGTATAGCTTATAGGACAGCCTTTGTTTTCAGTTTACAAAATCAAACGCAATAAATTCAGTAGGCTATTTTATTGTTAACTGAAGGAGAGTTACCACTCACAGAGATTAATTTCTGAGTGAATGTCAAATTAGATCATTTCCTAAGGAACTCTTTGGAACTTATTTTGGGAATTATGGACATTTAACTGTAATAGCTAGATGCACAATTTAAACTATAATGATTCATCTGAAAAATATGTGCTTAAAATGCAAAGGAGAATAGATTTACCCCCCAAAATTATTATAATAAATTTTAGGAAAGATATACAATATATCTTTGTATATTGATATGTACAAATGTAATATGTAACAGTTATTACATTTTATTCCTTTATGAAAATTGAAGAACAGAAAAACAAATGCAATTTTCTGGATTTGGGGTGGCAGTGGCGTTTGGAACATAAAGGATAAATAAAAATTTAAAAATAATTTTAAGTGTAATACCCATAGTTAAAGATCTAATTATCATAGAATGCCTTTATTGCTTTGAATATTCCATAGGCTTTTATTATGATATTTTGAATTTGTTTATTTATTAAAATCTATTGGTAATTAATTACTAGTGCTAGGTTTAATTAACACAAGTTTTTATAAGTATTTGGTTGAAGTTATGTAATAATTCTATAAGTAGTCAGAACCCACCATATCTAGACTCAGTAATAAGGGCTACCTTATCACCTGGTGATAAATTGATTGATTATCACCTTCAGATATTAAGTGAGCAGATAATGGTTTTCTGATAAGAGGACATTTGATGTCATTTTAAAAAAATAAGGCAGATTTTAATCTTTGCTTTAAGTTACTGAAATGAAAAAAAGTAAAATCAAACAAGATGGGGATTTTTTTTTTTTCATTTTTGATGGCCTCACTCAACTTTAAGAACATCAGACTTGAGTATTAAAATGGAAATTCAAATTTTTTTCTTTTGTCATTGCCTTAAATTCTTTGGTCATCTCCTTAATTTTATGTCATTCATGTGTAGGATTTTTCATATCTTAGTCTTCACATATTTCTAATATGTTTTAAAATTAATTATTTAAGCTTTTCAGAAAGGGAATATCTTTTAAAAGACATTGGCAATCACATTTTAAAAGCCCATTGTGATTTCCCTAAGATGAACTTTATTTTCATACATCGATTGATTTCTCCCTATAAAAAGTCTTATTCAAAATTATTTTCTTAGGCTGGACACATTGGCTCACACCTGTAATCTCAGCACTTTGGGAGGCAAAGGTAGGTGGATTGCCTGAGGCCAGCCTGGACAACACAGGGAGACTGTCTCTAAAAAAAAAATACAAAAATTTAGCTGGGTGTGGTGGTGCATGCCTGTGGTCCCAGCTACTCAGGAGGCTGAGGTGCGAGGATCACCTGACCCCAGGGAGATCAAGGCTGCAGTGAGCCCTGGTCATGCCATTGCACTCCAGCCAGGGTAACAAAGTGAGATCCTCTCTCTCTCTCAAGAAAAAAAAAATATTTTCTAGTCTACTTTTATTCTCTCCTCTCCTGTCCCCCAATCCATTGTCTACACCACTTTGATTTTTCTGACTTAACGTTTCCTGTATAGCAGGAGTCAAGATGGCAATATCAATGGCTAAATAACTAAGGAAAAGAGTACATGGCCTAGTATGAGATAACTGTCAATGGTGACATAGAAAGCACATTATCAGTTTCTGGGGCCATGCTGAATTGGCCTTGTTGTCTGGGGTGACACCCAAGTTTCGTTGTCTCATGGCCACGGAGATCAAGGACATGGACACACACAGAGTGAAGTTAAGAGCAGAAATTTAATAGGTGAAAGAACGAGAATAGCTCTTTGCTACAGAGAGGGGTAATGGAAAAATGTGTTGCCATTCTGTTGTGAAATGCAAGGGGTTTTATAGATGAGCTACTGGGGAGGCGGTGTCTGATCTACACATGGTGTGAAAAACAAGTTAGGACCAGGTGTGCCATCTGCATACGGCACGAATCTCTGGCAGTCCCCACCCCAATCTTTTATTTTGCAGGTGGTTTCTCTGCCTGAGTTTCTCCATGTTGCCCATTTCTTTCTTACTGTACTTGTGCTAACAAAAACAGGGAAGATGGAACTTCCATGGTGGACATGCCTGGCCCCCAGGTAGCCGTTTTCTATCAGTGCAGCTGCAGGCATCCCCCATTGCAAGCTTCTGGCTTCCTTATTTATGCTTTCAGCTCGATCTTTCAGGCTGCTTTTTGTTAGGAAAAAAAAATGATTTATTGGGCTGCCTTTTATTAGAAGAGAAGTTCTGCTGAGGACTCTTTTGCCCTCACTATCTACCTAAATAATTACTTTCTATCTTCTTTATCAGTTCTTGAAAAATTGGCACTTCTAGCCTCTTTACCCATGAGCGAGCCCATCAGCTGTTAAATGGGGCCATAATTTAGCTAAGCCCAGTTAGGTCCTGCACCTTCATTCTCCTGAAGACATAGGCAGACAGCATCAAGCTCTCACGTTTCTGAATGTTGCTGTTAGAAAGATGAGTGGATTCAGAAATTTGTTGAATTTCGAGGGCCTTCTTTAAGAAAAAAGAATACATTTTTTCCCCAAAAGTATTACAAAAACCATTTGACCATGGGAACATGTTGCTAGGGCCTCTCCTAAGGGGCTAATGCAAAAAAGGAGCACTGAATCACATGCCTTGTTAACTTCATTGTAAATGGCTTTTTTTTTTTTTTGGCAGAGAGTAAAAAAGGATCAGAATTTCTGATTCTATCTCAGAGAAAAAACCCAAATATATTCTGATGGTCCATGATTGGCCAGCCTGATACCATAAATATGTTATTTTATTTTATTTTATTTTAATTTTATTTTTTGAGATGGGGTCTCACTTGGTCATCCAGGGTGGAGTGCAGTAGCATGATCTCAGCTCACTACAACCTCCACCTCCTGGGCTCAAGCGATCCTCCCACCTCAGCCTCCCAAGTAGTTGGCACTACGGGCACACGCCACCATGCCCAGCTAATTTTTTGGTGTGCATTTTTGGTAGAGATGGGGTTTCGCCATGTTACCCAAGCTGGTCTTGAACTTCTGGGCTCAGGAGTTCCACCCGCCTCAGCCTCCGAAAGTGCTGGGATTATAGGAGTGAGCCACCATGTCTGGCATGATTCCACAAATATGTCTTATAGATAGGTATTTATTTAGTCATCTGTTACTCACCCGTTAGTTCAATGTTCAGTCAATTAGTAGGCAAATACCTTTTCTAAGAGTAGGTTGAGTTATTGCATAAATTCCCCACAACCAGTTACAATTATTCTCTTTGAAAATGCTCATCAAAAGCCTGTAGAAAGGCAATGTGCCTGTGAAATTTGCTTTTCCTTTTCTCTTGTTCCAGAATACACACTTACTAATTAGATCTCAAGAGTGTTTTCAGTGGCATTAAGGCAAGATGGGAGGTTGAAAGTGGGGCAAAGGAATACCTAAATCCCAAATCTCTTAGTTTTATAGTTTCAAAGTTGTGACTCTACCATATTGTATTTATAAACTAACATTATAATCTATAGGAAGAGAAACTAGAGTCATCAGGAATTAATAGTCCCTGTTTTGAACCATTGAGAAACTTCGTGCATAACTTCAAACTTCCATGGCATTCTCCCCATGTCTTTTTCTGTCCCCAAACTTCTCCTGTTTATAAAGATGCCAGTCATATTAGATTAGAGGTCTACCCTACACCAATATAACCTCATCTCAATTTAACTAATAACATCTGAAATTATCCTATTTTCAAATAAGATTACCTTCTCGGTACTGAAGATTAAGACTTCTACAAATGAATTCTGGTGAGGAAGGTGTACAATTCAACCCATAACTGTGAAGCTAAGATGCTTTTCAGGAGCTTCACTTATTTAGTATCTTTTATTTGAGCACCTTGACTAATTTGATATAGATCTGTTGGAAAGGTAACTTAGATGGCATATTAGTTTGCTGGGCCTGCCATAACAAAGTACCAGGGACTGGCTGGCTTCAACAATAGAAACTTGTCTTCTCACATTTCTGGAAGCTAGAAATCCAAGATTAAAGTGCCAACAAGTTTGGTTTTCTCTGAGGCCTCTTTCCTTAGCTTTCAGACAGCTGCCCTCTTGCTGCTTTGCCTTCATGTGGTCCTGTCTTCGTATGCACACATCACTGGGGTTTCTTTCTGTTCTTATGAGAATGCCAGCCATATTGGATTTAGGACCCATGCATATGACCTCATTTAGCTTTAATTACCCCTATAAAGACACTTTATAAAATATGATTACATTCTGAGGTACTAGTGATTGAGATTTCAACATACAAAATTGGGACAATAGATAGCCCACGATAGATGACCTGACATATTTTATTCTTATTAAAACCTGTCCCTACCAGTGAAAACTTACTCCTGCTATTGCCATTTCCAGTTACTACTTCTCATGTTAATTGTGTTAATTCTACTAAGCATGCAACAGTCTTACTGAGCACTCTTAGTGTACAGGTTTTCTCCACTCATTAAGAAAAACAAAAATAGAATAAGAGATAATCCTTGACCTCAAGGAATTTTAAAATCAAAAGAGCGCACAAAACTGAGTAAGATCAGTGAATGAACAGACTTTTTCCCAATGGGATAGTAATTATGTCATGTTACTGGAGTTAGTTGGGGGTAGACAGAATTGGGGGTTGGTGGCAAAAAATACTTCATTGAAAAGATATGTTTAGGTGCACATTGAAGGGTATGTGGAATTTAAATAGGCAATGACCATGTCTCAAAGAAACCAAAGTATCATAGAAATACTCACAGAATGAAAAGCAACGCTAAAAACTTTGTCTCTGATATCCATCAATCACAAAATAATTGCAAATGTTTAATGCAAAGTCTATGCAATTGCTTCTATCATAATGTGAACATTGGGATCCATTGGATCAACATTTAGAACACCATCATAATAGCTAAACACCATCATAATAACAACTAAAGTTTATTGAAAAATTATTACATGTCTGACACTGTTCTGAGAACTTTACAGTTATTAACTTATTTAATCCTCACAATAAATACGTGAAGTAGATACTACTATTATCCGCATTTTGCACAAACACACAAAAACCCAATTTCTTCTGGATCTCATTAAGTATCTTCTGAATATAGAGTGGTATTTTTAACTTAACAGGTTAGGTAAATAATTCTTAATTTATGACTTGTGAAGAAAATAAATGGTTGTCTGTGAGCTGAAATTCAAGATAGTTTCATTATTTTGTTTTGGATTTGAGTATGATACCAACGACTTTTTTTCCTTCTTCTTTTCTTTTTCTTTAGGCCATTTTGAAACATTATAACTTGATGTTACTTTACTAATTATGTTGGTAGTTAAAGTCTGTTTAAGAAAGAATTCCAATCTATTGAATTAACAAACTTGTTCTATGGTGTGTTTTAGCCACAACAGAATGATCTCTGTTCCTTAACCCAAAACCTTTCCATCTTTCAAAATGATTTCTTAGGTTTTTCCATACATCTGGAATACTCTCTCTCAAATTTAACATCCTACGGCTTCTATGCTATGCCAGAAACTGTCCTAGGGACGAAAAGTCTAGGTGGTGAGTTATGTACTCTACAGATATTATCTTGTTTCATACTCAAATTTATGATGTGGATATTATCATCTCCACTTCATGAAGTCAATAATTTAAACAGTATTCACACTTCTGTTATTAAATGCTCCATTTATTAGTTACCTATTTCATGAAGCTTTTCTAACATTTCCTTTTTAAAAAAAAATCATGGCCGGGCGCGGTGGCTCACGCCTGTAATCCCAGCACTCTGGGAGGCCGAGGCAGGCGGATCACGAGGTCAGGAGATCGAGACCATCCTGCCAACACGGTGAAACCCCGTCTCTACTAAAAATACAAAAAATTAGCCGGGCGTGGTGGAAGGTGACTGTAGTCCCAGCTACTCGGGAGGCTGAGGCAGGAGAATGGCGTGAACCCAGGAGGCGGAACTTGCAGTTAGCCTACATCGCGCCACTGCACTCCAGCCTGGGCGACAGAGCGAGAATCCGCCTCAAACAAACAAACAAACAAACAAACAAAATCACTTTATTGAGGTATGACTGACATATATGAAGTGGTATATATTTAGTGTGTACATCTCTATGACTTTGGGATAAGTATTTATTTACAAAACCATCACCACCATCAAAGCCATAAACGTATCTATCACCTCCCAAAGTTTTCTGGACACCCGGTTTATTGGCGTGATTATTGTTGTTGTAAGAAGAATTAACATAAGACCTACCCTTTTAGCAACTTTAAGTATAAAATGCAGTATTGTTACCTGTAACGGTAAACAGACATGGTTGTTACCTTTAACCATCATATCCTCATTTTCCTCTCCACACTGCCCCTGGCAACAACCATTCTGCTCTCTGCTTCCATAAGTTTGACTATTTTAGATTGCACATTTAAGTGAAATCATGCAGCATTTTTCTTTCAGTGTCTAACTTATTTTACCTAAGATAATGCCCTCCAAGTCTATCCATGTTGTTGGAAATGGCAGAATTTCTTTCTCTTTTAAGGCTGCCTAATATTCCATCATATATATATATATATATATACACACATATATATATATATACACACATATATATATATATATATATATATATATATATATATATATATAATGCAATGTCTTTTTTTTTTTTTTTTGAGACGGAGTCTCACTCTGTCACCCAGGCTGGAGTAAAGTGGCGCGATCTCGGCTCACTGCAAACTCTGCCTCCTGGGTTCAAGCAATTCTCTGCCTCAGCCTCCCAAGTAGCTGGGATTACAGGTGCTCGCCACTACACCCAGCTAATTTTTGTATTTTTTTTAGTAGAGATGGGGTTTCACCATCTTGGCCAGGCTGGTCTTGAACTCCTGACCTTGTGATCCACCCGCCTCAGCCTCCCAAAGTTCTGGAATTACAGGCATGAGCCACCACACCCGACCAATACAATTTCTTTATTTATCCATCTGTAGACATTTAGGTGGTATTCGTATCTTGGCTATTGTGAATAATACTGCAATGAAACATGGGAGTGGAGATATCTCTTTGAGGTCCCGATTACAATATCTTTGGATATATACAGAGAAATGGAATTGCTAGATTGTGTATTCCATACTGGCAGTATCAATTTACATTCCACAAATGGTGTACAAGGGTTACATTTTCTGTACATTCTCACCAACACTTGCTATCTTTTGACTTTTTAATCATAGCCATTCTAACAGGTGTGAGGTGATATCTTATTGTGGTTTTGATTTACATTTCCATGATGACTAGTGATGTTCAGCATTTTTTAATATACAAGTAGGCCATTTGTTTATCTTCTTTTGAGAAATATCTATTCAGGTCCTTTGCCCATTTTTGAATTAGATTTTTTTTTTTTTTTTTTGCTACTCAGTTATCTGAGATTCTTGTACATTTTGGATATTAGCCACTTATCAGATCTATGGTTTATAAATATTTTCTCCCATTTCATAGGCTTCCCTTTCATTTTATTATTTCCTTGCTATGCAGAAGCTTTTTAGTTTTATGGAATTTAATTTGTTTATATTTGCTTTTGTTGCCTGTACTTTTGGTGTCATATTCAAATAATATCTAATCATTGCCAAGTCAAGATGCTTTTTCCCTATGTTTTCTCCTTGGAGTTTTACAATTTCAGGTTTCATGTTTGTCTTTAATTTTTAGTTAATTTTTGAATATGGAATAAAAAAGAGTTTAATTTCATTCTTTGCATGTATACAGTTTTTCAGTACCATTAATTGCCAGTACCATCATTACTTTCCATTCATTGAAGTGACTGTCCTTCCCCCATTGTGTTTTCTTGGAGCCTTATAGAAAGTTGGTTGACCATACACACATGAATTTATATATCAGCTCTTTATTCTGTCCAATTGCTCTATGTATCTGTTTTTATATAAATACCATACTCTCTTGACTTGTAATATAAGTTGAAATCAAGAGGTGTGTTGCTCCAGCTTTGTTGTTTCTCAAGATTGCTTTGACTATTTGAGATCATTTGTGGTTCCATATGAATTTTAGAATTGATTTTTCTGTATCTGTGAAAAATGCCATTAAAGTTTTGCTGGCGACTGCATTTGGGTGTTATGAACATTTTAATAATACTAATTATTCCAACACATGAACATGAGATATATTTCCATTTATTTGTGCCTTCAATGTTTTTTCATCAATGTTTTATAGTTTTCAGTGCACAAATCTTTCATCTCCTTGGTTAAACTTTTGCCTGAGTAATTTACTTTTTTGATGCTAATATAATGAGATTGTTTTCTTAATTTCTTTTTCAGATAGTTCATTATTAGTGTATAGACATGCAACTGATTTTAGTATATTGATTTTGTATTCTGCAACTTTACTGAATTTGTTAGCTCTTACATATTTTTGGTGGAATGTATAGAATTTTCCCAATATAAGATAATGTTATCAGTAAACAGAGACAATTTTACTACTTCCTTTTAGATTTGGATGCCTTTTTTTAAAATTGCTCTAAATAGGATGTCCAGTACTATGTTGAATAGTAGTGGCAAGAATAAGCATCCTTACTGTGTTCCTGATCCTAGAGGCAGAGCTTTTAACTTTTCACCAGTGAGTATGACATCTGTAGGCTTGTCATAGATTATTATGTTGAGGTACAGTTCTTCTCTATCTAGCTGTTTTTTATAATGAGAGGATGTTGAATTCTGTCCTATGCTTTTTCTGCTATTGAGATAATCATATAATTTTTATCCTTCACTATGTTAATGTAGTATATAATATTAATTGATTTGCTTATGTTAAGCTACCTGTGCATCCTAGGGATAAATCCCATTGAACATGGTGTATAATGTGCCGTTAAATTCAGTTTGCTAGTATTGTGTTGAGGATTTTTCTTTTTATGGTTATCGGGAATATTGGCCTGTAATTTTCTTTCCTTGCCATTTCTTTTTCTGGCTTTGGTATCAGGGTAATGCTGGCCTATAAAATAAGTTTGGAAGTATTTCCTCTTTTTCAATTTTCTAGAAGGATTTGAGAGGAATTGCTATTAGTTCTTCTTTAAATGTTTGGCAGAATTCTGCCATGAAGCTATCTGGAACTAGGCTTTTTCTGTTGTTGAGAGAATTTTGATTACTGATTCAATCTCCTTACTCATTATTGAGTTGTTCAGATTTTATATTTTTTTTGATGATTCAGTCTTGGTAGGTTGTATTTGTCTAGGAAGTTGTTCATTTCTTCTAGGTGATCCAATCTGTTAGTGTATGATTGTTCATAGTTGTCTTTTGTGATCTTTTGTGTTTCCGTGGTACCAGTTGTAATGCTTTGTCTTTCATTTGTAATTTTATTTACTTGAGACTTCTTTTTTTCTTAGTCTAGCCAATGGTTTGTGTAGAGACTGTCTCCTAGATCATTATTCTGAAGCTCAAGCAGAGTTTGATCTATCAGAGTAAAAACTTGCTAATCACGAGGTCAGGAGATCGAGACCACCCTGGCCAACACGGTGAAACCCCATCTCTACTGAAAATACAAAAAATTAGTCAGGCATGGTGGCGGGCTCCTGTAGTCCCAGTTACTCGGGAGGCTGAGGCAGGAGAACGGCGTGAACCCGAGAGGCGGAGCTTGCAGTGAGTAGAGATTGCGCCACTGCACTGCAGCCTGGGCGACAGAGCCAGACTCCTTCTCAAACAAACAAACAAAAAAACACTTACTAAGCTTCACATGATAAATAAATATCAAAGTAAAGTGGGTTTTCTAGTATCAAGTAGGTACATAAACAGATACTTTTGTCCTTGGTACAGTTCTAGAAAGGGGCAGATGACTTGGATACAAATTCTTATCTTCAAGCAAGTTTTCTATTTGGGGTAGGAGATGGCCAGAGTTTCAGACAGCTTCAGGATACAGTGTATTGCTGTATTTCCTTTGAGATGCTCTAACCTTCCCTACAATAGCATGGGGGAATGTGTGCAGCTGGGCTTTCTGCACATTTATTGATAAGAACAGGGATGTGAAATACCTTAGTGTACATCATTTTAGACATTTCAACCTATTTCAGGTTTTAACTCCAAAGGCATATGATGATATCACAGAGATGATTATAAAAAATGAACATCAATCACAATCAGTGAAAACATTCTGCTGTCATCCTGCAGTTATTCAAGGGAAGATTTATAAAGACTTTAATGAAATGATCTTATATTTAAGTTACTATAGCCAGTGTCTTCTCTTCATTTTGATTATTTCTAGTGAAGTATCCTATGATTAGATTCATGCAGAATGTGAAACAAAAGTAGTAGCAAAACTTACAGTGCCGGCACAAGAACCAACTATTAAATCCCATAAGAGAAAAACACCGCTCATTCCAGCAATCTAAAATACAACTTAAGGGCAAGTTGTTGGCACACTTCTGTCACTGCTGTCATCTCACTAGTACTCAAGGTCCATGGAAATACTTCTATTAAAAATAATCATCTGTTCATGGGAGAGCAACATCCAGATTATAGTCCCCTTTATGTCACGAGTGAACAAATTTTAGAATTACTTATTACCTTGACCCACTTATAGCCTCAAACAGTGGTGAGCTACTTGCATTATGATTGAGGTCATGTCTGGATATTTAGGACAAGACTGTTCTAAATTCATAAATACTAGGTATTTTTGAAACTCTTTTTGGTAATTACCTAAATCTATGAACAATCTTCTGAAAATGTTACAGCTAAATCCAAAAATAGTATCCTGTTTGAAGAGTTAATCCAAACATAAAGTGATTTTTTTGATATAGAAAAGATAGATTATTTGAGTAATATTCAATATTCCTAACAGTGCTATTTTATTTATTTATGGCATTTCTTAAACATAATGTAAATGGCTTGTCATTATATTTTTTAATGTATATGTGTATAGCTTATATTTTCTGAGTTTACATGTTGTTATATGATGTCTGGACCTCTTTAAGTGTGACAGATAGGATGTCAATAGAAACTAAGTTATGTCACTGCAAGATAGTGCCTTGGTTCAAGCCATCAAATATTCAGTAGGCTTCATAACTGTAGAAAAACAAAAGACATAAAATACATGTTTTAGTCTTTTTCTTGAGGCCTATAGACAGGCATATGACTAACCACTAACCACCTAATATTACATTCAATCTGAGACTTTAATTTTACTGCAGACATTCACACTTGAGGCTTAACATCTCAGTTTCCTCAATCACAACCCACTGATCACCAAAACAATAAAAATAACTGAATACACATTACAACTTTTGGTGTTGACTAACAAGATAAAACAAGCCTAGGGAAAATTGTGGGCACCGTGTCAGGAAGCAACAGAAATTTGCAGGATAAATTTCGAACTACTTTTACCTTCTGCTGGAAATTGACAGCATTCCTTTTATACATGGTTCTTATCACTAGGAAGCAAGATCCTGTATTTATAAAAAAAAAAATTTGTGCCATTTCAGTATATTTCTTGCCAATGTCATAAAAATGGTTATGTCTTATATCTAGGACAATTGATCTTTAAGTGCAGAGAAAGGATAGATCATAGATTAATTTCAGGTACATAATTAAGATTTTTTTAATCCACAGAATAAAAAATATAAATAATTTTTTTTTTTGGTCAAGCTATTTGAAATTTAGGTTAAAATTCTCCCAGTGCTAAGATTTGGTTGTTCTTTATCATTTGGTGCTAAAACAACCTTTTTTTTTTGTTTTTTTTCAGATGGAGTTTCGCTCTTATTGCCCAAGCTGGAGTGCAATGGCATGATCTCAGCTCACTGCAACCTCCGCCTCCCGGGTTTGAGCGACTCTCCTGCCACAGCCTCCAGAGTAGCTGGGATTACAGTCATGTGTCACCACGTCTGGCTAATTTTGTATTTTTAGTAGAGACAGGGTTTCTCCATGTTGGTCAGGCTGGTCTCGAACTCAGGTGATCCGCTGGCCTCGGCCTCCCAAAGTGCTGGGGTTACAGGGTGCACAGCGGGCCAGCCTAAAACGACCTTTTTAAAGCAATTGAAAGTATTCACTCAGTGAGACAAAGTAGTGAACATAGTAAGTCACGTTGTTTCTTTATTTTTCTTTGTCATTATAATTTTATAAGCCTCTGGCTCTGTGATGGCTGACACACAGCTCTCTGGAGATACGTTTTGAGGACAAAACAGAATAGAGCATATAGTTCGCCCACCCCCTGTTAAATATTTTCCAAGTTCACATGACTTAAATAAATCTTTAATAAATAAGCAGGTTTTTAAAATTATTGATGAAATAAACGTTTCTTCAAAATTCTCAACATACATTTTTGCCTGCACTCACTGGTCAGACAAATTTATATTTGTATCTGATATATAATTTACAGTGTCCAGGTTTGAAACAAAGATTATAAAACTATAAACCAAGCCAAAACCAAAATAATCTTTATAAAATTTTAAAATTAATGATTAATTTAATATTATTGGTTTAATAAAAACAGCTATATCTTTGAAGTTATCTACAAAATATTGATATATTTAACTTTAAGATTAAATGGTTAGCAGGAAAATGGTTAACAGGAAAATAACTTAAAATGATGACTAGCTTTGACTAATATCTCAGTGCTCATAAATAATCTAGATAAACTATTAAAGTTAGATAACAGTGAATGAGATAAACACATAAGTAAACTTTTAATATAATTTTTAAAAAGTTATGTTAAATTAAATAATAAATACTCACTAAATGTCTAGGTCATTTCTAATTTTAAAAATTATAAAAAAACCTATTTCTAAGACTCATAAAATAGTTTTTATGTGTAAAATACTATGTGATGGACAATTCAAAATTTCCTGCTTTCTAGGGTTTCGCTAAAATTTAAGTTAACAAAATATTTAAAATGTTTAACATGTAACTCTATATATGCAATATACAAAATTCATAAATATACAAATATCTCTTTAATAAAAATAATTTGGTCTGATTCAGAGGTTATTTACAGGTTATTTACAAGAAAAAACAGTAAATAGGAGATGAAAATATAAAAATTTATGGATCTATACATATATTTCAATTAAAAGTTTAAAATTTATATATAAAAAAGTTATATAATAATTTTTTTCCTAAAATAAAATGACTGTTTTTTTAAAGACAAAGCAGAAAGCTCAAACATGTCATAAATGGACATAATAAAGTTTGTAAAAAAAATTTATAAAATAAATTTTATATATAATTGTTAGCTATAATTTAAAAAACTATGTCTTTATAATTTTTAAAGATTAACATTTAATATTAAAAATAAACTAATACAAAACTAAAAATTTTTGTTTCCCATGTTACAACAAGGTCTTCTTAAAATATTAATTTACCCCTAATGAAATCACAACAGATTTTAATTTTTAATTTTAAAACCAGCTTCTTTTAAAAGCTTCTTATATTTATATCTCAAAAGTTTAATTTCTGGTATACCTCACTACACATAATTTAGAGGACAAAAATCATTACCTTCTGTTCCTTTTCCTCTGGAAATAGTGTACCTTTTTACTTCGCTAAGATAACAACTTTCTCCTTGAAACTTTTTTCTACTCCTGTTAAGTTTTTTTTTCTCCATTTCTCATTACTGTTGTGGTCTGATGCTATAATGTTTATTTTGAAAGTCTAAAATATATATATACTTTTTTCCATTATAAATTAATTCTGTACTTTTGGCTCCTTATGTCTAAATTGAAGAATATAACCAAAAACCTTTTCATGCTGTTACTGAGAACAATATATTCCCCTACTCAACGTTTCCTCAATACTTATTTAATAAATTATATAAATATATTATCAAATAATACCATATATTCTTTCAGTTATGTTTATAAATATGCAATTAATATAGTCTAAAAATTACATAAATTAATAAAATTCTAACATCATAGTTTTGATTGACATTAAATATTTCTAGTTATATTTATATAAATATATCATTAATATAAATATTCTAAAAATTATATAAAGTTTATAAGAGTCTGAGCCTCCTTATATGATACTGTTGTGTCCGGAATTGGTGGGTTCTTCAAGAATGAAGCCGTGGACCCTCACAGTGAGTGTTACTGCTCTTAAGGTGGCGTGTCTGGAGTCTGTCCCTTCTGATGTTCACATGTGTACGGAGTTTCTTTCTTCTGGTGGGTTCGTGGTCTCGCTGGCTCAGGAGTGAAGCTGCAGACCTTCGCGGTGAGTGTTACGGCTCTTAAGGCAACGCATCTGGAGTTGTTCATTCCTCCTGGTGGGCTTGTGGTCTCGCTGGGCTCAGGACTGAAGCTGCAGATCTTCGCGGTGAGTGTTACAGCTTATAAAAGCAGCGTGGACCCAAAGAGCGAGCAGTAGCAAGATTTATTGCAAAGAGCTAAAGAACAAAGCTTCCACAGTGTGGAAGGGGACCCCAGCGGGTTGCCAATGCTAGCTCCGGCAGCCTGCTTTTATTCTCTTTTCTGGCCCCACCCACATCCTGCTGATTGGTAGAGCCGAGTGGCCTGTTTTGTCAGGGCGCTGATTGGTGCGTTTACAATCCCTGAGCTAGATACAAAGGTTCTCCATGTCACCATCAGATTAGTTAGATACAGAGTTTCCACACACAGGTTCTCCAAGGCCCCACCAGAGCAGCTAGATTCAGAGTGTCGATTGGTGCACTCACAAACCTTGAGCTAAACACAGGGTGCTGATTGGTGTGTTTACAAACCTTGAGCTAGATACAGAGTGCCGATTGGTGTATTTACAATCCTTGAGCTAGACATAAAGGTTCTCCACCTCCTCACCAGAGCAGCTAGATACAGAGTGTCGACTGGTGCACTCACAAACCTTGAGCTAAACACAGGGTGCTGATTGGTGTATTTACAATCCCTGAGCTAGATATAAAGACTCTCCACGTCCCCACCAGACTCAGGAGCCCAGCTGGCTTCACCTAGTGGATCCCACACGCGGGCTGCAGGTGGAGCTGCCTGCCAGTCCTGCGCCCTGCGCTTGCATTCCTCAGCCCTTGGGTGGTCGATGGGACTGGGTGCCGTGGAGCAGGGGGTGGTGCTCGTCGGGGAGGCTCGGGCAGCACAGGAGCCCACGGAGGGGGTGGGAGGCTCAGGCATGGCGGGCTGCAGGTCCCTAGCCCTGCCCCGTGGGAAGGCAGCCAAGGCCCCATGAGAAATCGAGCGCAGCGCTGGTGGGCCGGCACTGCTGGGGGGCCCAGTACACCCTCCGCAGCCACTGGACCGGGTGCTAAGTCCCCCATTGCCCGGGGCCAGCAGGGCTGGCTGGCTGCTCCGAGTGCGGGGGCCCACCAAGCCCACGCCCACCTGGAACTTCAGCTGGCCTGCAAGTGCCGCACACAGCCCCGGTTCCCGCTCGTGTATCTCCCTCCACACCTCCCTGCAAGCTGAGGGAGTGGGCTCCAGCCTTGGCCAGCCCAGAAAGGGGCTCCCACAGTGCAGTGGGGGACTGAAGGGCTCCTCAAATGCCACCAAAGTGGGAGCCCAGGCAGGGGAGGTGCTGAGAGCAGCGAGGGCTCTGAGGACTGCCAGCACGCTGTCACCTCTGTCAGTCATAATTCTAATTATCTTAAAATACTGCATATAATAAAAATAACTAAATTTCCCTGTCAATTAAAAACTTTTGTTAAATTTTAACTGTAACTATTGTAAATTTTTGTCATCCATAGTTTCTAAAAGCATTTACTATCAACTCTATCCTAAAATTGCTTTTCATAAAAAAGACTTTAATAATATAGATACCAAAATGTAATTAATAGAAATGATACAAATATATGTTCAAATTTTGTTAAATGTTTATCATGTATTTTTCCAATCTATAACTTACTTTGATACTATTAAAGATATACTGCTATATATAATCTACAATATTCTTATAATAGTTTGGTTAAGGTGTTAAATTGGTAGAAAAATAAGACGTCTAAAAAAACAGATTAATTAAAAAATAGATACAATCCAAAACATATTTTTCAATAAATAGAAGAATATACATGTTGGGCCCAATACTCATTCCTTACAACTACAGCTAACGATTACCGACCTTGCTAAAAAAGAGTCTTCTTAGCTACCTGAGACAAAGTTGGTCTTATAAATACAACCAGAAGGTTAATTTCTGACCAAAAGGAAAAACTTGTCAGACAAAGTAGCAAACATAGGAAGCCATGTTTGCTTATTTCTGCTTGCCAGCATAATTTTACAAGTCTCTGCCTCTGTGACTATGTACAGCTCACCAGAAAGGTACTTTGAAGACAAAACAGAATAGAGCACAAGGCCCCTGACCTCTCTTGCTTGAGTTACTATACTCCTTAAAAGATAAATGACCCATGTTTTTGTGTCTTCCTACACATAAGATAACGTCTGTCTGATGTTGTTAGTGATTACGGTTCTGTAACCTAATGCCAAGTATACTTTTACATCCCAATTCTGATATAATTCAACTTTAACATAAGTTCTACACAAGTTTGATATGACTTTATGCTTTCTAAACTCCCACTATCTATACATAAACAGTGGGCTAAAATACTGTGTCAGAACAGTCTGACAAAACCTCTCTAAAAGACTCCTTCTCGGCTGTAGGCCTCAGTCTATAGTTCTAAGTAAGACTTCTAAATAAAACTAATTTTAATTCTTTAAAAGCTTATTTTTTTTCTTTAGCCAACAATTAATCCAATCATTTAACAACTGTTATTCTTAGTACTTACCCTATATAAATTATATCCAAGATAAAAGACAAAAGAAATACAACAATGACACTATCAGCTTTGATTTATTATTTCATAGAGCTTATAATTCAGTCAGAAACATATTTATCCAATAATCCATCATGCACATGTATACACATACCACACTGTGCTAAATGCTATGAAGGAAAAGTAGTTTGTGCTATCAGAACATGTAACAGAGGCAGCCTGTCTAATCTGGAGAGGAATGGGGTGATGTCTAGGTAGAGATGATAATTGAGCTCAATAAAGAAGTGGTATCTAAACTGAACTCTGGAGAATGTGTAAGAGTTAACTAGGCAAAAGAAGAAAAGAATACCTTTATGTGGAGGGCTCTGTGTGTGCACAGATCAGACTTGCAGATAACAAGGAGGGATATGGATTGAGATGGCCTGAGAGGTCAGCTAGGGACCAGATCCTACAAGGCCTATGAAACCATGTTAAAAGAAGGGTCTTAAATAGGAGGGTTAAATGACACATTTACATTCTTCAAAAGAAAATATCTTACTTGGGAAAATAAAAAGTTGACAAAATCTATGCTTACTCTCCACAGTTTCTCCTTCCAGCAATCTCATTTCCAGTCTGTGCAATCCAAACGTCTTTATTCTAGTACCGTAAGTAATTTTCAGAAACTAAGAACCAGCCATCAAGGGTGACCCATATGATAAAGGATTCATTCACTATAGAAAGGTCCCTATAGGGGCCTGCTACTCTCAGCAGGTCACTTAGATCAGAAAGAGACAAT
This sequence comes from Homo sapiens, assembly GCF_000001405.40. Taxonomy (NCBI): domain Eukaryota; kingdom Metazoa; phylum Chordata; class Mammalia; order Primates; family Hominidae; genus Homo; species Homo sapiens. The sequence goes on along the minus strand of NC_000003.12, from coordinate 87,677,000 downwards.
GATAGCACAACATTCTCTAAAGTCAATTTTATAAACTGGGGTTGGTAGCAGAGACAGTGGAGTGGTTTCCAGTGTCACAATACTTGGGGTTACAACAAATAAAAGACAGAGAGGGTCAGTTTGGCCCTTGTGCTTGACAAATCATCATCAGTGGATAGCAGATGAAGAAGTTTGACAAAACTGGCAGCTGGGAATAAGGGAGTGTCAGGAAAGCTGTTAGAATTGGGAACTGAAAGGATAGGGATGTTGCTGGGTTCTGTGACAGGGAAATTAGACTTCTTTGATGGACCAGGGCAAGGAAATCACTAGCTCCTGTTGTATCTATAAACCTGCTCTGATTTGAGCACAAAGGGACGTTCTGTTATTTTCTGGCAGTAGTGTTCATTTTTCTCTTTTAGAATATGTTTCCTCCCCTGCCAAAGAACCTCTATCTCTTTTCCCTTCCATTCTTCTGATTATTTCTCTTCTCTCATTTTCTTTACTCTCTGTTGCTTTTAATCACCAACACCTCATTTTTTAATTTAATCTCCTTCTCTTTCTCATTACCCCTTTCCTTTAATTTTTCTAACTGATTAAAATATACAACAGAGGCAAGTGCTTTAAAATATTTCCTATATTTATCAAAATAAGTTGTATAATTGTATACATTATTTATAATTTTTCTAAAGATACAACCACCACATAATTGGCATCAATTATCTATTGCTGTATTTTGGTAAAATGCACTTTTCTTGTAAGTCAGGAGTACTTGATAGAAAAGAATAAGAAGATCCTTCTTGGCATCAAGTGATATTCTGTCAAAATCTAAGGAACAGGAGATGCACTGTTTTGCCATATCGCAATAACCAAAAATTCAGATTGACACTGTCTCCTATTTAGAGTGGATAATTTCAGTACCTATCCAAGTAGTAGGTGGACAATAATCCTGATTGATGCATCTTTAGGAAAAAAATGTCAGAGAGTTATTTGGGAAATTACACTGATGATATTAACAGGAGCTCTCATCAAAAAAAGTGCTGGGCTTAGGGTTTTGCATGGGTTATCTTACTAACTCTTCACAACAAATCTTACAAGGGAGGCACTGGTATGTTACAGTTTCATAAACTGTGAGGCCAAAGTTAAAAAGTTAAATAAATAGCCTAAGGTTTTGAGCAAGCAGGTGGAAAGTGGTCTTATTCCAGAGCTACAGCCAAACCTCTATGCAACTCTGGTGCAACGGCCTCTTATCATTGCTATCTCTGTAATGTTGAGTCAACTCTGTAAAATAATGAGTGTTAGTAATTTGCAGGTTAAAAATTATTCTAAAATATATATAATATATATTTAGCATAATATAATAATCAATTATATTGCATTTTTTGGGTAATGATAATATTTATTCCTAAATAATCTTTCTTTACTTAACTTAATTTTTAGCAATAAAATAATATATTCATACATTGGGATGAAAATTACAAAACATAAAAGCAGCCCCAGACATCTTTTCTTAGTAAAAAATTAATTTGATAATAAATGATGAAAGCAAAGAAACATTTAAATTTGATTTCTCATTGTCAAGTCTTTGGAACTTCCTAAAAGATACAAAATGGTTCTAAATGTTTTTTGTACATATTTGTTGTAAGCATAACACATATTTGCAGTAAGCAGAACCTGTTCTAAGTAATATATTTGCTCATTTATTATATATTGTCCTGCTGTTAGCATAAGATTGTGCTATAAGTTTACATGATTGATAAATCATCAGGCGTGAGCCTGTTCTCATTGCCCAATCTTCTAAACTGGCAATGGAGTTTTCAGGTTTCTAAAAGCTTCAATAACTTGAGGATTGGCTGCTGTCTAATGCCCCTGCAGAGTTTGAATTAGAATAACCAATGTGCCTGAAAAGAAACTAAGGTTCTGTTGTGGAGAAATCTTATAATCGTCAGGCAAAACAGATAGGGTGATCTTTGATCTCTTGCTCCTAAGCAGCTAGTGGGCCGGATCACGCTGCTGGTTGAAAGTGAACTCTCAGTTTTCAATTCTGCTTTTTTTCACGTCTGTGGGTAGCATTTAATTTGTGGTTTTTCACACATCTACCACAATGTGGACGCATAAAGAGGTAAAGAGAAATCCTTAAATTTGAGGTAAGAGTATCTGGGTTTTAATTCTACTTCATGAGTTTACTAACAGCATCATTGAGCTAGTCCTGCAATCACTTTAATTCTCAGTTTCCACGTTTTAAAAATAGGGCTTGTAAGTGGAGCTTCAGGGAAAAAAAAATTAAAAAAAATGCCTTATTACAAATCCCTCTTACCACCTAAAAATGATTGGAGAATTATACAATTAAAACATAATAGATCAGCGTTTGAATCTAGAAGTGCGAGGCTGCGGTGAACTGTGATCACACCACTGCACTCCAACCCAGGTGACAGAGAGACCCTGTCCCAAAAAAGAAAAAGAAAGTAGATCAAAATAGCAATTGACAAAATCATCTCACTAAAATAGACTATGGCTACAAAAGCCAACCTCAAACTCTTTATAGCAGTGGTTTTTCCTAAGGTGAGACAAGGTATTATATTTCAAGGTATTTTAGAATAATTTCAGAGTACAAGGCATTTTGTTAATAAACTCAGAATATCAATACATTAAAACAATGGAAATGACAATTTCTGCCTAAATAACGTATTTTAGTAATAGAAGGAAAAAAGTCACAATCTAATTACTGAAGTAATAAAATCATAAGTTGCTTATTATGTTTCTGTTATCTAATGAGGCATAGGAGTTAAATAAAACTATTTTATTATTTATTGTGTTCTAACAAGAATAAGCAGATAAATGGTTGACACTCATAGTTTATGTGGCAGGCCAGAATTTTTATTTCACTTTTCATCTGGACACTAACCAAGTGAGGATAAAAGAAGGGAATTGTCTTAAATTGAACTCAAAGTGGAGGAATGAGAAGCCATTTTAGCATAATCGTTTATAATAATCATGTAAGAAAGAATCAACTTATACAAGTAATACAGACTCCATAGATCAACAATTTTTAAATTTTATTTTAATTAACAAATACTAACTGTACATATTCATGGGGTACATAGTAATGTTTCCATACATATAATGTACAGTGCTCAGATCATGCTAATTCTGTAGATATTGACCCTGAAGCCAGGCTGGTGAATATGGTCCATGCTCCTTTTCCTCATCTCTTAGGCCACCAACTGGAAACTCATGGAGTGGAGGTGGGAGGTAAAGACAGAGGAACCCTTGGGAAGGAGACAAAGGGCGGGGACGTTCAACAGATGAACTTGGCTTTCTGAGAACCTGGATAGTGAAGATTGTACTGCTAGATGCCTGGATTTTATTAGGGAAAAAAGCCTCTGTGCCTGTGAGGAGTGGATGACAATTCCCCACCTAAACCAGATCTAAACAGGTTGAAATAGGCCATTTGATCTTGAAGAGCAGGATGTTCCGAATATAGCTCTGATCTCTTAAGTGTCACTGATGGACAAACAGTGGAATTTGTTTTCATAACGGGCAGATTCTCTCACATTTCAACTAATAAGGAAGTTGTAAAAATTATATTTTTGAATAAGTTATAATTTATTGGCATATAGTAAATTTCCTTATATAAAGAAATGAAACTTTGGACTTGGGCAGGATCATCAGGATCTAGCATAAGACACCCCCGCCCTTACTCTCACAAATGAGGAAACTGAATTTCAAATATAGAGGCTGTGACTTGTTCCGTTTCACAGCAGGTAGTTTTAGAGCCTGGACTAGAATTAAAAATTTCTCAGTATCTATTTTTATACTACGTATTCATTATATCTTGATTTTTCTTTTTTGGTTTTTGTGAAACAAGATGATAATAAATTCTTTTTTTCACCTAAAATATTCTCTATATATTTGCTCCAATATGTATACAGACAAATCTATAATTAAGTTAAATGTTAAAGACTAAGTCTGTAAAATATATATTTTTTCCCCCAGGGAATAATATGATGTGAAGATGTACTCCCTACAGACCTGCCTACAGGTAAAAGAACCACAAAACTAAAAGTGTCTTTAATGTTTTAGGGTCTTAAATTGGGCAATTTCTTATGGAATCTCAAACGTGGTACCAATTTTTAAATATTTCTTATTTATTTTTGAGTCCTCAAGGAAAGAACAGACTTAGAGACATGTTCAGGGTATCAGGAGATTGGACTCTTTTTTTTTTTTTTTTTTTTTTTGAGACAGAGTCTTACTCTGTCACCAGGCTGGAGTGCAGTGGCACGATCTTGGCCCACTGCAACCTCCACCTCCCAGGTTCAAGCGATTCTCTTGCCTCAGCCTCCCGAGTAGCTGGGACTACATACAGGCAGGCACCACCAAGCCCAGCTAACTTTTGTATTTTTTAGTAGAGATGGGGTTTCACCATATTGGCCAGGATGGTCTTGATCTCTTGACCTCGTGATCCACCCACCTCGGCCTCCCAAAGTGCTGGGATAATAGGCATGAGCCATGGCACCCAGCCAAAATTAGACTCTTTATACCACTTAAGTCCTCAGTTATTGTTGAGTTTTAAAACTTCAGTTATGTAAAATTAACAGAAAGCCCATCTACTATTTCCTCCATTTTACAGATAAGGAATAAGTCAAAGATCATTTAAATTATCCAAACTAGCAGCTCTGGGAAGCAAACTCAGATATCTGGGTTCCAGAGATTGCACTGTTAGGTTCTACAATACTCTGATTCATATATGGGTAAACCTAGAAAAAAGTCAAGATGACTTTTGTAGTGGCATTCTCCCTCTCTAGATTTTGTTCCAATTTTGGATTCCTTCCCTGAGACAAGGCCTTATTCTGATTAACATTGCTGCTAAATCCAACACCTCCCTGATTACTCTGAAGGCCTGTTTTAGCAACCCTTCTCTGCTGAAACGAATTCCTGGGACCCAGCATTTGTTTTGTGTAGCCCTGGTAGCTTGGCATTTGCTATGCATACACATTATTTCTATAATCAATTTTCTCTCTATTTGGAATTCCAGACACTATGCTGAATGTCCCAGCTTTTTACTCCATATCCTTGTGCTCTTTTGCTGCAAGATCTCATCCTATTGTCTTATATCCTTGCTACCAAACATCTACTTGGAGAATCTTGGATCTTGCACTGTGGCCAAATTCCTTGAAATTGGCCCATACTTGCCTGATTGGACTCCCCACTGTATTCTAAACCAAACCCGAGGTATCATTCTGTGTCATCTGCCCTACAGTGTTCATTAATGGCCCATAGCTTTTCTAACTGGTGGATTCAGAGATATTATAGTATCCTCTCTTATTAGTTTTGATTTCAGAAAAACACTAGAAAAATATACTCAGGAAATTGGATGGTAAAAGCATATGCTAACAGTGGATCTTCTGTTTTTTAAAGGGGTAAAATGCAGTATTGTGTAGACAGTTGAAATATTCGGAAGATGATAGCCAAGTTCACATTAGAACAATTAAAAGAGCCCCAAATGGCACCTCCAAGTCAAAGTTTACTTCTTTGAAAGGCAAGCCGATCATGGTCTAAAGAAATGAGAAGGTAAAATTCTTCAAATTTTCTAGGAGCCACTGTCAATTGTTGCACCTAAATCTCTCAAGGACAAATCTCTGAGAGCAATGTGACCAGAATTGAGCTCAAGAGTTCTTAAGCCAAACTGCAATTTACATTTACCAGAGGAGCTTTGAAAAATGCTGATGGCTGAGCTTCACTTCCAGAAGCTCGATTTAATTGGTCTGAGATGCAACAGAATTATTGGCACTTTTTACAAAGCTTTCCAGGTGATTTTATTTTACAAGTAGGGTTGAGAAATGTTAAGCCCTCAGCAAAATGGTTGAAAAAGGCCAGTATGGTTTTGAGCCATCGCCCTTCCCCACTAGTGCACCTCTTTAGGTGTGTGGCAATCTGCCCTCTGGGGTCTAGGAGCTCTGAGAGTCCCTGACATCCACGTCCTTCCTACCTCCGGTCACTTTTGACTCTGGGCCTTTCTCATGTAATGAACTTGATTCTGCACTATAAAATAACAAAAAAATCACTTTTAAGTTAAGATGGCTATGATTTAAATTAATTATGATTTAACATGACTGATAGTTTTATAGGATATTTTTCTCTCTGCTCCAAAAGAAAGAACATTTTCTTTTTGGAATTGAATAGATTTAGAGGAAGAAGTGGTTATCTCATGTTTCTCTATTCTTATGTCAAAGCTGCTTCTCTGTCTTTTCAAAATATGATACCATATGCTGGAAATAGATTGGCTTGTTAACTCTAAAGGGCACAATTATTTCTCCTGATATTAATAATTGTGAAAAATATACATATTGCCAGTGTGGTTGAATTATCTGTGATTACCTACACTAGGAAGAAACATAAAAACAACAGTGAAACGATTCAACTATGATTTGAAAAAATGCTGACTGGAAATATACTTATTCTCCTTATAAAATTTTTCTCCTTTATTAAGGAAGGCAAGATAATACTTGCGATTTCTAGGATATTAGATGATTTTTAAGGTATGTGTCATTAGATAAAAAGCTTCTTTGTGACCCTAAAAAGTTAGACAGTATGTATTATTTTATTCTGACCATACTTAGGAATCTTTGAAAACTAATTATCTCGGGATTTAGTCGAGGATCTTTGTTAACACTCATAGCTATTGACATATCTATGAGAAAATAACATCCGAGGGAAGGGTTCTTTGATTGTTTATTTTTAAGCAAATAGGTTTAGTTTTGGTAAAGCCTTAGTGGTCTTGGAATGAATCCGCCATGATTGAGTGTGGGCGTGTGTCCATGATTGCACAGGAAATATCTTTTTAAAAGTATCAACTATTTCAAAATCGATCTCCTGAGAGACAATTGTAATATCGATATTTGGGAAATAGTATTCATAAAATAGGCATTTAACTAAGAAAATTAAAAGCAGGCACAGTATAGCTATTAAGAATAGGTGCTGTAAGAAACAGAAAAATACAGTGCAGTTAGGTGGAAAATAAAAAATCCCAAAAATTCAAAGGTTTGGCAGGAGCTAGCTGCATGACATTTAGCAAACTGACTTCTCTGGACTCTATTCCTTTAAAAGTGGTGTGTTGGAAGAAATCATGTGTTGAAAAATTTAAATCTAAGATAATCAAAGATATATAAATGATTTGAAGAATTATAAAAACTTTCATAACTTTTTGCCAAACACAAACTCAAAACTGAAAATATGATATATATAGAAATCTGCTGTATTTATCCTAAGCAATAATCTGAGACCACAGGCTCAATCACTTCCTATAATTAAACAAAAAATTAAAACATAAATCAAATGATTTCAATTCAAGATTAGAAAAAAGAAAACTGTAAAATCAACCAGAGACATAAGAAATTAATCTAAAAACAAAACTAATGGAATATAATTGTTAACAACACAAAACAACAAAATAGTCACACCCCTACCTACTTCAGTGGAATCTGTGAAAACTTTGATCACAGAGAAGAGGAAATATCATAAATGTTAAGAAGAAGGAAGGGGATATTTTCCTAGATACAGAGGAGAGCAAAGCAACAAAAGAATGAAATAAAATTAAATTAAGTAAAAATATACTTTGAAAATTAAAAAATATATTTGGAAATGAATGACAAGGGCAATAATGCATATCAAAATTTATAGGATGGGGCCAAAATAATATTAATAAGGAAATCAATAACTGTGGTAAATCTCATCCTAAAACAAAGGAGAGAAACAGGCAAATAATTTTAAGAGCAAGGAAGAAAATATGCCCACAGACAGAAAGTATATCAAACTAACAAGAATGTATCATGCGTAGCTATTCATACACATGCAAATTTAAATATCTAGGAAGAATGAGAGTTTTTCTAAGAAAATGTAATATTAAAGTGAGTGAAGAGCATGATGGAAAATTGATTAAATGGAACTGAAAGAACTGAAGTTATACTCTTCATGCCTCATTTTAACTGGGACAATGAAGGGGTACCCCATGGTAACACCATTACTATGAGAAAGAACATGTAAATGAAGCTAAACTGAAATTGGAAGATGAACTAGCTTTAGTCTAATTAACTCCACTTTTAGGGAGAAATTATGACGAATTTTGGGAGGGGTTTATAATTCTGATCAAGGAAAAGAATGTCAACCATACGGTAGAGGGTTAGCTTGAATCTATTTAATATCACCTCATAGCTACTGGGCTTTGCAGTTCTGTTTCTCTAATAGGGTCTCTGATCGGCTATTGGGCTCTGCAGTTCTGTTTCTCTGATAGGGTCTCTGATCGGGTGGGTTTTGGAAATACATTGTGTAGTTGCATGGGCATAATGTTTTACTCACTGCATTATCAGAAGTACTACTTTCAAGAAAACCCAGAAACCATGATTGTAGAACTTGGAGATAGAAGTTTTCATTTATGGTATCCTGTGTAAGAACAGTTTCAGAGAATTCTAAACTATTTGAGGTAGGAATTGCTCTCTGTGTTTTACCGTCACTCCAGATGGTGACACGAGTAATTGAAATCTCTCAAAAAATGTGGTATTGCTATTGGTTTAATATTTGTTAGGTACAAGCAGCTCTGGGTGCCTCATCTGATCTTTCATGGTCAGGAAGCCAACATGGGGATTCTATTAGAAGCTGAGTCTGTTTATTCCAATTCTGCATTCTGAAGTAGAGGAAATAACCACACAATGGTTTCAAAGATATATTGGGCTTATTAAACCAAAATTCTGCTCATTAGCTGACCTCCATACACCCCTGTTCTGATTATTGGACCACAGAAGCGTTTTGAGTCTCCAGGAGTTAGTGTCAGTCTAGTGAGTGAGCAACAAACTGAAAATTTTGGTTAATCCATCTCTCTGATGCACAGATATCTTAGTGACCTTGGGAGACCAAAAGAGGAATCGCTTATTTTTTTTTTTTAGTATTGGAGCAGTATATCCTTAAGAGAATGTTGGCTCCTTTTTATATAAAGGCTCTGGGCTGTAAACTCCTAACTGAGTTAGTGAAAGAATTGTTACTTTCTAGTGGGGTGACACAAGTCAGACTTGTGTTCACCAGACCTAGCACTTTTCTAGTAATATAAATTGAATAAAACTTTATTAGATTTTCTATCTAGTTCACCTCTAGAAACATTAAGATTAATTGGCCTAAATTGGCCAAAATGTAGGCAGGCCAAAATATTACAATGCTGGCTTCAGTTTTGTTGGCCATGATGGTAACCATCTTTCTTTGGCAATTAAGTGTTGCTGTTCGTGTGTGGTCACTGCCACTCTGGATTCTTATCATCCCCACTGAATTCAGGGAGCCTATTCTAATAACAGCGGTTCCCTTTGTCATTCCTGCTATACAGAAAATAAATAGCTACCACATAGCTTCTCAAGGATACTGGAGTTCCTCTCACAAACATATTTCTCACAGCTGTAGTAAAGAGAGTTTCCTCTGAACCATTCTAGGACATAGAGTCAGTGAATCGGTGAACACGTCTTCCTTGATAAATGTATTTTGAGATTCTGACCTTTTTAATTCTTAGGGTAACTTCCACTGTGGAAGAAGTTCTCAATTTCAACACTATTGGCATTTGGGCCCAGCCATTACTTTTTTGGGGAAATTTATCTGCAAGAAGACTCGTAAGTTCTTTCCTGTGGAAGCTGTGCTTTTGGGAAACAATATTGAGAAAGAATAAAGTGGAATAGTTTCCTATGTGAAACTAGTTCCTAAACTTAAAATGTTAGTCTGAATTATATTTCCAAAGTGCTGGCCTAGTAGAATGAATTTTAAAAAATTTTAGTTTTTAATTTTATGTAAATAGAATAACATTAATTCACATTTCACTATTACTACTTAATGTGCATATAGAGCTTCAAAGGAGAGTTCTTGGGCAATGTTTGAATACCAGAATTCTACAAATATCTGTGGGATAGTTCTAGGTATTTTACAGGTATTTGCATCTGTTTATAATTGTGAACAAATATTTTCTATAAATAAACTGAATAATACTAAATACTGCTCATAATTTTAAGCATCCATAACTTATCTTACACAAAAATATCATCAAGGAATGAAAAAGCTGAGAGTAACAACTTGGTGCAAAGGAAGGTAGAAATTTTCAGTTTCAAAATTCAGTAGTATTAAACAAGTAAAATATATAATTTCTATTTTCTATTTTTAAAATGTATATTTACATTTCAAAAATAATCTTCAATATGTTCATGTTATCTTATTGATTTCTGCTTTTTCATATGAAGGGGTTTTCATGACTCCTTATGGGACTGTGATGGTTAATTTTGTGTATCAACTTAACTGGATGAAGGGATGCCCAGATAGATGCTAAACTATTATTTTTCAGTGCATCTGTGAGGATGCTTGTAGAAGAGGTTAGCACTTGGATCAGCTGACTGAGTAAAGAAGACTGCTGTCACCAAAATGGGCAGGCATCATTCAATCCATTGAAGGATTGAATAGAAGAGTGAATTAACTCTCTCTTCTTGAGGTGGGATACTCATTTTCTCTTGCCCTAAGACATTGGCTGTCCTGGTTCTCAGGTGTTTGTGCTTTAACTCAACTACATGAAGAACTTTCCTGGGCCTCCAGCTTACAGACAGCAGATTTTGGGATGTCTCAGCCTGCATAATTGCATGAGTCAATACCTCATAATAAATATCTGTCTATGTATATATCACTATTTACCCCATTTGTTCTGTTTCACTGGAGAACCCAGTATTAGTAAGGGTTCTCTCCCACTGTAAACAACAACCAAACAGGTAGGGAACATCATCTGAAACAACTGTCTTCAGACATTGGATTACATGAAACACAAATTCAATAATAAAATTATTTAAGGATTTCAAGATAGTGATAGTAGAGCCAAGGGCAGAGCCTCTCTTAGTTCAGGCCCTTATGCAACTAAACAGTTTGTACGATATGAAGCTGGCTCAGGGTATTAGTCATGGGGCCAAACTAGCTCTAGAATAAAGGTTCATCTAGATCCACCCTTGAAAAGCATAGAAACCAACCTTAAAATAATCAAATGGCTCTGTAAGTGGCTTAAAACAACATCCAACACAATTCAAAGGAAGAAAATAAATCTAACAGTAATAATAAAAAATTAATAATATTTCACAAGCAAACCCCACAATATCTAGATTTTTAAAGAAGGAAAATGTGGTCTATAATCAGGAGAAATATTAGTTAATAGAACAGATACAAAAATGACAGAGAAATGGAAGCAGCAAACAAGGACATTAAAACAACTGTTTAATATATAAATATGCTCAAGGATTTAAAGCAGATATATGGAAGACATAAAAAGGAATCCATAGATATAGAAAAAGAAAAGACAACAGAGAAAATTGACATAACCAAATGTTGATTTTTTTGAAAAGTTTTATAAAACTGATAAGCTTCCAGTAAGACTGTTAAGAAAAAATAAAGAGAAGATATAAATTTTCAGTATCAGAAATTTTTAAAAATATATTAAAAAAATTATACACATGTTAAAATCATATAAGGCAATATTATGAATAACTAAAATTCCTTGATAGATAAAACATTAAAATACCAATACCTTTATATCTATCAAATGAATTGAATTAAAAAATATCAACCTTTTTATTGTGAAAACTCTAGGCACAGATGTATACACCAATAAATTCTCTTAAGCATTTCAGGAATCAATGCAGTAGTCCTCCCTTAGCCACAGTTTAACTTTCCTGAGTTTCAGTTATCCACAGTCACATAAGTTTGCACATTGTTCTGAGCAGTGGGATGAAATCTTATGCTGTCCATTTCCCTTCCACCTGGGATGTGAATCATCCCTTTTTTCAGTGTCTTTATGCTGTCTATGTTACTTGTCTGTTAGTCACTTAGCCTTCTTGTTATCGGATCTACTGTCATTGTATCACAGTGCTTGTGTTCAAGTAATGTTTATTTCACTTAATAATGGTGCCAAAGAGCAAGAGTATTGATGCTGATAATCCACATTGCCAAAGAGAAAGCGTAAATCGCTTTCTTTAAGTGAAAAGGTGACCCTTCTTGACTTAAGGAAAGAAAAAATAGTGGTACAATGAATTTGCTAAGATCTATGGTAAGAACAAATCTTCTATTCGTGGAATTGTGTAGAAAGAAAAATAAATTCATGCTAGTTCTGCTGTCCTACCTTTAACTGCAAAACTCTGGCTACAATGCTTGATAAGTACTTAGTTAATATAGGAAAGATTAAATTTGTGAGTGGAAGACATGAACAGAAATGTGTTCCAATAGACGGCAATTGGGTTCGGTACTATCCATGGTTTCTGGCATTTGTTGGGGGTTGAAATGTATCCCCTGATGATAAGGGGAAACTGCTGTAACAGTTTTGCAATTTTATGCTAAATCTGACTGAAAATGGAGGAGAGATGTTTTCCAATTCATTTTATTAGGCCAGCATTATCCTGATAGCAAAAGCTGACAAAAACATTACAAGAGAAGAAAATTATGTACAGAATCTCTCATGAATATAGATTATAAATTCCTAAGCAAAATACTCTTAAGCAAATAATCCAGAAATATATAAAAAGAGATGAAACACTATGACCAAGTGGAATTCATTCCAGAATATAAGGATGTTTTCTATTCCAAAATCATTCAATGCAATTCACCACATTGACAAAATAAAGTAGAAAAACCATATGAGTACTCAATACATGCAGAAAAAGCATTTGACATAATTCAGCACCCTCATTAAAACTTTCAGCTAAATAAGAAAAAACTTTCTAAAACCAAGAAATGTTAGACTTCCAAGTATCATCATACTTCAGTGATGAAGACTGAATATGGTCACTATAAGATCAGAAGCAAGTCAACGATGTCTCCTCTGACCATTTCTATATAATGTGCTACTGGATAACCCATCCAGGGAAACAAGGAATAGTGAAAAATAAAAATAAATAAGACACATACAAATTTAAAAGAAATAAAATTATCTCTATCACATATGATAAGATTGAGACATGGGAATTATATAGAATCAGCTACAATTTTTAGAATTAATAAATGAATTTAGCAAGGTCTCAAGACACAAAGTGAATGTATAAAATAATTGTATTTCTATATACTGGAGGTAAACAACTGGAACATGAAAAAATGTAATAACATTAAATTCACAACTTACTAAGCAATGAATGTTACATAAGATGTGTAAAACCTTTAAACCAAAACCTGTAAAACATTGCTAAGAGACATTAAAAAAAGAAATCTAAATATAGAGAAAAATATGCCATTTTCATGGTGGGCAAGACCCAATATATTTAAGAGATAAGTTCTTTCCAAATTAATTCACTGATTCAAGTAATCTCTACCATAAACAACATAAATGTAGAAATTGATAAATTGATTAAAAAAATTTTTTTTTGAAACGACAAGGGGTTAGAATAGCAAAATTGATCTTGAAAAAGAACAAAGCTGGATGACTCACATTTCTTGAGTTAAGACTCAATAATTGAGTAATCAAGACAATATGGTATTGTCCCTCTCCCTGCCCCTGGTAAACACCATTCTACTCTTTTTCTTTGCAGTTGACATTTTTTACATCCCATATATAGGTGAGATCACGTGGCATTTTTCTTTCTGTTTGGCTTATTTCTCTCAGCGTAATGTTCTTCAGGTTTATTCATGTTGTCACAAATGGCAATCACTGTTTTTTAAAGACTAAATAACATTCCATTAGATATTACCTATAATAATCCTATTTATACTCTACACTCCCCCCTACACATCACAATTAATTTACTGTACATCCCTTTATGAACACTTAGGTTATTTCAAAAACTTGGCTATTGTGATTATGGGAGCACAGAAATCTCTATTAATTGCTGATTTATTTTATTTTTTCTATTTCTTAACTTTTTTTTAGGTTCAAGGGTACATTACAGGTTTGTTATGTGGGTAAACTCATGTCACAGGGGTTTGTTATACAGATTATTTTGTCACCCAGGTACTAAGCCTAATACTCAATAGTTATGTTTTTCTGCTTCTCTCCTTCCTCTCACCTTCTACTCTCAAGTGGGCCCCAGTGTCTGTTATTCTCCTTTTGTGTGTCCATAAGTTCTCATCATTGAGCTCCCGATTATAAGTGAGAACATGTGATATTCGGTTTTCTATACCTGCATTAGTTTGCTAAAGGTAATGTCCTCTAGCTCCATCCATGTTCCTGCAAAAGACATGATCTCTCATTCCTTTTTATAGTATTCTATAAAATAGAATAGTATTCTATGGTATATATGTACCACATTTTCTTTATTCAACCTGTCATTGATAGGCATTTAAGTTGATTCCACGTCTTGGCTATTGTGAAGAGTGCTGCAATGAACATTCACATGAATGTGTCTTTGTGGTAGAATGTTTTATATCTTTCTGGATATATACCCAGTAATAGGATTCCTGGGTCAAATGGTAGTTCTGTTTTTAGTTTTCTGAGGAATTGCCACACTGCTTTCCACAATGGTTGAACTAATTTACACTCCCACCAACAGTGCATAAGCTTTCCCTCTTCTCTGCACAAGGTGCTGTTTGAAAATTTTTTGGATATATACCCAGCAGAAGTAATGCTGTGTCATATGGTAGTTCTATTTTTAATTTTTTGAGGAACCTCCATAGTGTTTTCCATAAAGTCTGTACTAATAATTTACATTTTCACTAACAGCATATAAGGGTTTTCTTTTCTCCACACACTCACCAATGTGTTATTTTGTTCTCTTTTTGATAATAGCCATCCTAACAGGAGTGAGATAAGATCTCATTATGGGCTTGAATTGCATGTACCTGATGATTTGGTGATGTTGAGCACCTTTGCATATATACTTTTTGGCCATTTTTATGTCTTCTTTGGAAAAATATCTATTTAGGTCCTTTGCCCATTTTTAAATTGTGCTATTTGATCTTTTGCTATTGTTTTGTGAGTTTTGTTAGTTTGCTATTTTGGCTATTAACCCCTTAACAGATATATGGTTTGGAAATATTTTCTCCCATTCTGAGTTGCCTTTCCATTTTGTTAATTGTTTCCTTTGCTGCACATACACTTTTTGGCTTAATATAGGTCCCACTAGTTTATTTTTGCATTTGTTGCCTGAACTTCTGGTGTGATGTTCAAAAATTCATTGCCAAAGCCAGTATCAAGGAGGTTATTCCCTATGTTTTCTTCTAAGAGTTTTATGGTTTCAGGTCTTACATTTATGTCTTTAACCTATTTTGAATTTATGTTTGTGTATAATGTAAGACATTTATTCTTTTGCATGTGAATATCCAGTTTTCCCAACATTGTTTATTAAAGAGTCTACCCTTTCTTCACTGCGTCTTCTTGGTGGTCTTGTTGAAATGTAAGTCAAAAAGGTTATAAATTTAAAGTTGTGTAGGATGAATCTAGAGATCTGATAAGGACTATAGTTAATAATAGTGTATCTTTATGTAACATATATAGTTAACTATAATGTCACATAGTTAATAATATTATATTATATACTGAAAGCTTTTTTTTTTTTTTTTTTTGAGACAGAGTCTGGCTCTGTTGCCCAGGCTGGAGTGCAGTGGTATGATCTCGGCTCACTGCAACCTCTGCCTCCCGGGTTCACGCCATTCTCCTGCCTCAGCCTCCCGAGTAGCTGGGACTACAGGCTCCCGCCACCAAGCCCAGCTAATTTTTTGTATTTTTAGTAGAAACGGGGTTTCACAGTGTTAGCCAGGATGGTCTCGATCTCCTGACCTCATGATCCGCCCGCCTCGGCCTCCCAAAGTGGTGGGATTATACGCTTGAGCCACCACACCTGGCCGAAAACTTTTAAGAGAGTAGATTCTAGGTGCTCCTGCCCCACAAAAAGTAATTATGTAAGATGATGGATATGTTAATTTGCTTGACTGTACTAATAATCTTTATATATATGTATGTCAAAACATCATGTTATATACCTTAAATATATACAGTAAAAACAGTATGGTTATTGACATAATTATAGCATTATCAATGTCAGAATAGAGATTACAGAAGTAACACCACAATTATATGGTCAGTTGGTTGCTGATAAAGGCTCCAAAGCAATGCAAGGGGAAAAAGACAAGTTATTTAAATAAATAGAACTTCAACACTGGATCTCCATATGAATAAAATGAACATTCTCTTCTACTATATGCAAAACTTAGTTTGAAATAAATGATACATATTTTTAAAAACTAAGATTATAAAGCTCTTAAAAGGAAATGTAGAATTTTTTTTGTAATTTAGTGAAGATTTCTTAAACAGGACACAGAAACATAAAAAATAAAATAAATTAGATTTTTAAAAGTTAAAATGTCCAGTCATCAGAAACCACCATTAAGACAAAAGTGAATAAGTTAGGTAAAAACTGAAAGAATATGTTTGCAAAACATCCTACAAAAGACTTGTATCCAGGATATATATTAGAAATTCCTTTAATCAATGATAGTATAATAAAAGTAAATAAAAAGAAATGAACATTTCTTATAGGAAGATAAAAATGGCCAAAAAGCACAAGAAAAAGTTAAGAAAATGCAAATTACAATCACAATGAAATACCACTCATTATAAATTTTATCAGAATGGCTAAAAGTACAAAGACTAACAACAATAAATGGTAATGAAAATTTGTAGAAACCAGTATCTCACATATTAAAAATAAAATAGCATAATTATTTCAATAAAAGTTTTGGCAGTTTCATAATAAGTTAAATATACATCTATTTTTTGACCCAACAATTCCACTTGTGGGTGTCTACAAAGAGAAATAAAAACATATTTCCATAAAAAGACTTTTCCAAGAATGTTTATAAGTTTTATATATAGCCCTAAACTGGAAACATCCCAAATTCCAACAAAGGAAAAAAATAAATACATTTTGTGTATTTATAGAATGAAATATCTCTCATTAATAACAAGGAATTAACCACTGATACACACATAAACATAGATTAATCTCATAAACAAAATGCTGAGAGAAAAAAGACAGACATTAAAGAACACATACCATATAGTTCCATTTATGTGACATCCCATAACAGGCAATAATAGTTTGATTTGAAACAATTAGAAGGGTGGTTGCCTCGGAAGACTAAATTTTCTGGGAAGGGATACAAGGGAAATTTCTGGGAAGATAGATAATAGAAGTGTGCCTTTCAGGGGGAAGATAATTCATTTTGCAAACTTGTACATTTAATATTAGTACATTTCAATGTATGTAAATGCTGCCTCCAAAAATTGCTTCAATCATCATCATAAACATCATCATCCTTATCATTGCCATGTTAGGGAGTGGGATTGTATTAGTCTGTTCTCACACAGCTAATAAAGATAAACCCAAAACTGGGTAATTTTATAAAGGAAAGAGGTTTAATGGACTCACAGTTTCACATGGCTTGGGAGGCCTCACAATCATGGCTGAAAGCAAATGAGGAGCAAAGGCATGTCTTACATGGCAGCAGACAACAGAGAGAGAGCATTTGGAGGGGATCTCCCCTTTATAAAACCATCAGTTCTTGTGAGACTTATTTACTATCATGACAACAGCACAGGAAAGACCTGCCCTCCTGATTCAATTACCTCCAATCCTCCCACTACACGTGGGAATTATAGGAGCTAAAATTTGAGATTTGAGTGGAGACACAGCCAAACCATATCAGGGATGAATGGTAGAATGTAGATACAATTTTCAATTGGGGGCAGAATACACAGGAATTTGTTATCTTATTTAATTTACTCCACACGTGTTTAAATTTTCTATAATAAAATATGAAGCTCAAAAGTTTAAAATCCTTAACAGGGGACAAAGGATATGAAGCCAGTCTCAATTGTGAAAGAAAATATGCCTGAAGAAATGATAGAAAAATGCCAGTGTAAGACATTAAAGTGAAAAATAATTTTGAATGTCTTCTTTCATTCTCCTTGTCTTTCAGAAAGTCAAAGAATAATTCATTCATATAATCAAGAACTTGTCCCTGAGGCATATGTTGTTAGTATAGGTATTTATTGCAAAATGAAGTTTCTTTCCTAACTACTGAGTCAAAAAGCTACCACGTATTGTCTAAAATATAGTGGAATTTTCCCAAAACTTGCATTCATGTTTCACAGAAAATATTGGGGTTGATGCTAAAAACAAATTGCTAATAATCTCTTGTAAGATTAGTAAAGTCGAGAAATGAGGCAAACAGATCAATTGAATTGTATTTTGAAAAAAATTTAATGATCAATAGATCTTATCTTTTTAATTTGTAGGGCATCTAGATCTTACCTAGTGTTTAAATTTTGGTAGTCAATGCTTTCTTTAAAGAAGATCAAGACATTTTACACATTTTTTGTAGCCTTCACACAAGCTAAAATCAAACTGTGAGAATCAATGATCTGGGGATTCAAATTTACATAATGAGTATCATATAATAAAATACATTGACAATACTCTTTGAAGAAATTGTCCTGAACATTATCACAACTTACCTAGGTAATATTAATTGCCAAAGTAAGATACAGAACTATGTTCATTTTATGATATCATACAGGGAAGTAATCACTTCAATATAAAAATCAATACAATAAAATTAGTTAAATCACATCTCATATCTTTTTGAAAAACTCATCCCCAAAAGACAACAATAAAATCATGTTATGCACTCTACATGTTGATAGAAATATTTTATTTTTGGCTGTCTTACACAGTTGTGCTATATAGATATTTTAATAGTTTATATAATTTTAAACTTTTTAATTATAATGTCATACATTTTATAAGCAGAAGTTTGGGGCACTATGCTTTTCCTACTGTATTTATACCATGGTTCATTTCTCCCTACAAATATTATATGATGTTATTTAAGTGCTAATTTCTTTAGAATTACTAATGCCATGAAGGCACTTCAGCAAGAAAGCATGGCTCCCTCTATCAATGTATTTATCATATTTATCTATATAAATAAAATTAATTTTTAATTTAATGGAGAGATGGAAAATTACAAGGTAAAATACATACTAAGAACATGTCCCTGAGCTACTGACATGCCTGGTTTTTAGTTCTGCCTCTTCTGTGAGACAAACCTATTTATTGCTTAATCTATTTAATATGTGAATTTATTATCTATAAAATTACTATCTGCTTCAAAGAATCATGGCACAGAATAAAGAAATAATAAAAGTAGAATATTTTATGTGCCCTATATATACAAGTATTCAATAAATAACAGCTAAAATTTTTATATGCCATGCAAATTAATATCTATGTATAATATACAATATAAATGTGTATAGGTCCATTTACCCGTGAGTAAATCTACTCTTTCATTGGTTAACTGAAATAAATTTTCACACTTAAAGGTCCAAATAGTTAATATTTCTTGGTAGATTTTTGTTAATCTAGTATGATTTTGGAGTTAACATTCTATTGTTGGTGTTAATGCTTTGTATGTATATGTGTGTGTGTATATATATATATAGTGTTTATACTACATATATATAGTGTTTATACTACATATATATAGTGTTTATACTATATATATATAGTGTTTATACTATATATATTTTGCATTTATTTGTACATTCCTTCAAGAAGTAGTTCTTGAGCACCATAGAGCATGAGCTGTACTGAATAATCCATACATTTAAGTATGTATAACAAGTATGTATGTGAAAAAACATACATATATGTTTCTTGAGGTTTTGTGAATTATTTGTGTTTGAGTCTATTGCATGAACCATTTTGGAAGCTTGTATTTTTTATTATTGATGAAGAAGGAATATTGAGAAAGGATACTTGTTCTGCACTTTCCTTAGAACAGTGTTTTTAGAAATAATTGCTTGATAATCCCTTGATTGAAGTTTTTCCACCTAAATTCAAAAAATCATTTGGTGGCATTAGAATTCTGTAAAAATATAATGGGGAAAGTTTTCATAGTTTGTCATTTCTCTTTAGGAGACATCTTGCATCTATTATGTTTGTGAGGGCAATTCTGCTCATGATCAACTAGTTTATCTGCTTTCTGTGTCAGTTCCCAGGACATGCGCACGTGAATGTAAATACAGTTTTTAAAAGGCCAGGGTTAAATATAAAGGTCTTATATAGTTCTCCGTACAGCTTAAAATAATTTTCAATCCTGCAACCTGTCCAATAACTCAATTCTAACTAAAGGTATTTCATATCATCAAAGCACAAATAAATCAGAGATCAGAAACACACTGAAATAGTGAATTTAGTGTTTAACTTATATTTTGAACACTTATTAAAACTTTTTCCTGTGTAATGTAACTCTATTTTAGATTAGATTTAAATTATGCAAATCTAATAGCATTAGTAAGCCTTCTAATTTTAATACTTGCTGAAGAATTGGTATTTATTACATTTTTTACAAGGTTTTGATTTGAGGTAGCCTACCAGTATATCAGCGGGGTAGTGTTATTATAAATTTAAATTTTGTAAAAGCAATATAGATGCTTTAATGACCACTTTAAAACATTTTAAAATATGACAAATGAGTGTTAAGGAGAGAATGACTAGAATATCAGATATAATTCCTTTAATAAGAAGATAAACTGCAGCAACAATAAACATAACTTGTTACCACATTCCATTTCTACAGAGAGATTTTAATTCATTTCTTTATATGTCAGCCTCATAAGAGCAAACTAACTTACATTTCTAAGTCAAGGGAAGTGTTCTCATTAGGGAATGTGCTAAATTAGAAACATTTATTTTTAGGTAATAAATATGAAGTAGATAATTTATTTTCTTAGCAACTCAATCTTGCAGAAACTTTTCTCATGTCTTTCTAAAGCTCAAGCCTTTGTTTAAATGCTAAGACACAGAATAAATTAGAGTGATTAAATAATGAAAAATACAATGATTGTACAAATTTCTGACACATTTTATTTTTATCTTTCAATGCAGTCAATTTTGAGTCCAAACATTCATTATTTAAATTACTGAAAACCTGTTACAATGACAGATTTAAAAGTATTCCTCATAAAGGTAGTCCCACAGCATTTGCAAATTTAAAATAAAGCTAAGATGCTCGAATGACATTTACTGGAATGGAGATCTGATTTTATTGGTACAGGCATATGGACTGTAGCATTGGGGTTTTCCTCTTAGCAACATTTTTTTCTTGAATTATGTTTCTATTTCTTATTTTATTATTATTCATTATAGCTTTTCATATTTTACTGAAATCATGGAATTAACTTCCAGAGAAATCATTCTACTCTTGGCCCTACTCTCAGGTACTTTTCATTCAAATCAATTTAATTCAATTTAATACACACATACATATCATAAAGTAGACATTGCACTGTGTACAGAAAACTGTGATGAATATTTTAGATATCATACCTTACTTTAGAAGCTTACAGTCTTGTAGAGAAGACAAATATCAAAATAGTAATTAAATATTTGTTGCAAAAATAAAATAATAGCATGCTGCAAAAGAAGTGAATAAATTGAATGAAGTAGGGATGGTCTTTGTAAAAAGTATAACTCAAAGTGATTTGGAATTAGCAATTAAGAATGACTAGTACGGCTTTTTCTAATCGAAGGGTACAATAATTTTGAAGAGTCTCAGACTAGATGAGGTCCTCAATATTAAAGAACCAGGATAGAGCAAATAGATTATTAGCAGTGTGATTTTCTATGATAGAGAACATGGGGGAGGAGGGGCAAGTAGATTGAGTGAGGTATAGAAAGTGAGCAATTAGTTAAATGTAAGACCAGTTTGCTCCTAATTTTTGTAGCAGTTGTGAAGAGTACAAATTGGGGCTCACTTATTATGGGTCTAACTAAATATTATAAGTCAAGCTAGTAATATTACATCATATATGATCTACCACCCTACTTCAACAAACACGACCTTACTAAAAATATCAAATAATGTAAAATTATGGTTTTTATATTAATGAAAGTTTGCAAAATATCAAAGGTAAGAGAATTTAATTATTGCACATATCTTGGTATTCTATGGGTAAACAACAATGTTTGAATACATAGTAAAATAGAAACATGTAATTACTAATTATATTTCTATTACTTAAAATTATTTTTCTTGCTTTTAATTCAGCAAATCCACCAAATACATTGTAACAATCATGGTTTTCTCACAATCGGGTTATATTAACATTAATACCAATTGACCTTAATGCTAGTCAAGACCTTCCTTGAATCATCATAATTTCAAGATAACTTCCTAAAATTGATTTCTTATCAAAATTTCTCTCTTGAATGATTAGAAAGTAACTGTCAAAAATCTCTTAAAACAACACTCAGACTTCAAATAAACCAAGTTGAAACATTGTAAGGGAAATTTGTAAGATAAATTATTATTATCACAGAAAAATATTGTAAAATTGTTGAATTTATTTACATAAATTACTATCACTTATAATCTTAATCATCTCTTGAAGTGATATCTAGTTCCATAAGGAAATATAAAGAACATGATTCTTATATATTATATTTAGACATATTTATAAGCAATCAAAGTTTCAAGATTTAAATAACACTGTAAAATTGTTTTTTATTTCCCATGTGCATCACTTGTGAATACCATGCTAAACCTTGAAAATCTCCAAAACTACAAGTTAGAAGATGAAGAGAAACAAATAATGCCTAGTCGGCAATATAGGCAAACAGTACTTTGCTAAGAAAGAACACATTTCCTTGAGTCCAGAAGATGGCCGAATAGGAAGAGCTCTGGTCTGCAGCTCCCAGCAAAACCAATGCAGAAGGCAGGTGATTTCTGCATTTCCAACTGAGGTACCCAGTTCATCTCATTGGGATGGTTAGATATTGGGTGCAGCCCATGGAGGGCAAGCAGAAGCATGGTGGGGTGTCGCCTCACCCAGGCAGTGCAAGGGGTTGGGGAACTCCCTCCCCCAGCCAAGGGAAGCCTTGAGGGACAGTGCTATCCAGCCTAGATACTATACTTTTCCCCACAGTCCTCACAACCCACAGACCAGGAGATTCCTTTGGGTGCCTATACCACAAGGGTCCTGGGTTTTAAGCACAAAAGTGGGCGGCCTTTTGGGCAGACACTGAGCTAGCTGCAGGAGGTTTTTTTTTTTTTTTTTTTTTTCTGTACCCCAGTGGTGTCTGGAACATCAGCAAGACAGAACCGTTCACCTGCCTGAAAGGTGGCTGAAGCCAGGGGGCCGAGTGGTCTTGCTCAGCAGATGCCACCTCCATGGAGCCCAGCAAGCTAAGTTCCCTTGGCATGCAATTCTCGCGGTCAGCACAGCAGTCTGAAGTTGACCTGGGACACTGGAGCTTGGTGTGGGGAGGGGCATCCACCATTACTGAGGCTTCAGTAGACAGTTTTCCCCTCACAGTGTAAACAAAGCCACCAGGAAGGTCGAACTGGGAGGAGCCCACCACAGTGCCACAAAGCCGCTATAGCCAGACTGCCTCTCTAGCTTCCTCCTCTCTGGGCAGGGCATCTCTGAAAGAAAGGCAGCCAGCCCGAGTCAGGGGATTATAGATAAAACTTCCATCTCCCTGGGACAGAACACCTGGGGGAAGGAGTGGCTGTGGGCACAGCTTCAGCCGACTTAAATGTTCCTGCCTGCCAGCTCTGAAGAGAGGAGCAGATCTCCAAGCACAGCAATCAGGCTCTGCTAAGGCACAGACTGTCTCTTCAAGTAGGTCCCTGACCCCCATGCCTCCTGACTGGGAGACACCTCCCTGCAGGGGTTGACAGACACCTCATACAGGGAAGCTCCACCTGGCACCTGGCGGGTGCCCCTCTGGGATGAAGCTTCCAGAGGAAGGAGCAGGCAGCAATCTTTGCTGTTCTGCAGCCTCTGCTGGTGATACCCAAGCAAACAGGATCTGGAGTGGACACCCAGCAAACTCCAGCAGACATGCAAAAGACGGGCCTGACTGTTAGAAGGAAAACTAACAAACAAAAAGCAATAGCAAAAACATCAACAAAAAGGATGACTATACAAAAACTCCAGCCGAAGGTCACTAACAGCAAAGCCCAAAGGTAGATAAATCTACGAAGATGAGGAAAAACCAGTGCAAAAGGCTGAAAATTCCATAAACCAGAGTACAACTTCTCCTCCAAAGGAACACAACTCCTCACCAGCAAGGGAACAAAACTGGACTGAGAATGAGTTTGACGAATTGGCAGAAGAAAGCTTCAGAAGGTGGGTAATAACAAACTCCTCTGAGCTTAAGGAGCATGTTCTAACCCAATGCAAGGAAGCTAAGAACCTGGATAAAAGGTTAGAGGAATTGCTAACTAGAATAACCAGTTTAGAGAAGAACATAAATGACCCGATGGAACTGAAAAACACAGCACAAGAACTTTGTGAAGCATATGCAACTATCAACAGCTGCATCGATCAAGCAGAAGAAAGGATATCAGAGATTGAAGATCGACTTAATGAAATAAAGCATGAAGACGAAATTAGAGAAAAAAGAATGAAAAGGAATGAACAAAGCCTCCATGAAACATGGGACTATGTGAAAAGACCAAACCTACATTTGATTGGTGTACCTGAAAGTGACAAGCAGAATGGAACCAAGTTGGAAAACACACTTCAGGATATTATCCCGGAGAACTTCCCCAAACTAGCAGACAGGCCAACATTCATATTCTGGAAATACAGAGAACATCACAAAGATACCCCTTGAGAAGAACAACCCCATGACACATAATCACCAGATTCACCAAGGTTGAAATGAAGGAGAAAATGTTAAGGGCAGCCACAGAGGGAGGTCAGATTACCCACAAAGGGAAGCCCATCAGACTAAGAGCAGATCACTCTGCAGAAACCCTACAAGCCAGAAGAGAGTGGGGGCCAATATTCACCATTCTTAAAGAATTTTCAACCCAGAATTTCATATCCAGCCAAACTTAGCTTCATAAGCAAAGGAGAAATAAAATCCTCTACAGAAAAGCAAATGCTGAGGGACTTTGTCACCACCAGACCTGCCTTACAAGAGCTCCTGAAGGAAGCACTAAATATGGAAAGGAAAAACTGGGACCAGCCACGACAAAAACAAACCAAAATATAATGACCATCTACACTATGAAGAAATTGCATCAACTAATGGGCAAAATAACCAGCTAGCATCATAATGACAGGATCAAATTCACACATAAAAATATTAACTTTAAATGTAAACAGGCTATATGCCCCAGTTAAAAGGTACAGACTGGCAAATTGGATAAAGAGTCAAGACACGTCGGTGTGCTATATTCAGGAGACCCATCTCATGTGCAAAGACACACATAGGCTCAAAATAAAGGGATGGAGGAAGATTCACCAAGTAAATGGAAAGCAAAAAAAAAAAAAAAAGTTGCAATTGTAGTCTCTGATAAAACAGACTTTAAGCCAACAAAAATAAAAAAAAAAGACAAAGAATGGCATTACATAATGGTAAAGGGATCAATGCAACAAGAAGAGCTAACTATCCTAAATATATATGCACCCAATACAGGAACACCCAGATTCATAAAGCAAGTTCTTAGAGACCTACAAAGAGACTTAGACTCCCACACAATAATTGTGGGAGACTTTAACACCCCACTGTCAATATTAGACAGGTCAATGAGACAGAAAATTAACAAGGATATTCAGTACTCAGACTCAGTTCTGTACCAAGCAGACCTAATAGACATCTACGGAAATCTCCACCCCAAAATAACAGAATATACTTTCTTCTCAGCACCACATAGCACTTAGTCTAAAATCAACCACATAATTGAAAGTAAAACACTCCTCAGCAGATGCAAAAGAATGGAAATCAAAACAAATAGTCTCTTAGACCACAGTGCAATCAAATTAGAACTCAGGATTAAGAAACTCACTCAAAACCGCACAACTACGTGGAAACTGAACAACTTCCTCCTGAATGACTACTGGGTAAATAATGAAATTAAGGCAGAAATAAATAAGTTCTTTGAAACCAATGAGAACAAAAACACAACACACCAGAATTTCTGGGACACAGCTAAAGCAGTGTTTAGAGGGAAATTTATAACACTGAATGCCCACAGGAGAAAGGGGGAAAGATCTAAAAATCGACACTGTAACATCACACTTAAACTACAGAAGAAAGAGCAAACAAATTCAAAAGCTGTTAGAAAACAAGAAATAACTAAGATCAGAGCAGAACTGAAGGAGATAGAGACACAAGAAACACTTCAAAAAATCAATGAATCCAGGAGCTGGTTTTTTGAAACCATTAACAAAATAGATAGACTGCTAGCCAGATTACTAAAGAAGAAAAGAGAGAAGAATTAAATAGACAATAAAAAATGATAAAGGGGAGATCACCACTGATCCCACAGAAATACACACTACCATCAGAGAATATTACAAACACTTATATGCAAATAAACTAGAAAATCTAGAAAAAATGGATAAATTATGTACACATACACTCTCCCAAGACTAAACCAGGAAAAGGCCAATCCCTGAATAGACCAATAACAGGTTATGAAATTGAGGCAGTAATTAATAGACTACCAACTAAAAACAGCCCAGGATCAGATAGATTCACAACTGAATTCTACCAGAGGTACAAAGAGCAGCTGGTATCATTCCTTCTGAAACTATTCCAAACAATAGAAAAAGAGAGAATCCTCTCTATCTCATTTTATGAGGCCAGCATCATCCTGATACCAAAACCTGGCAGAGACAGAGGAAAAAAAGAAAATTTCAGGCCAATATCCCTGATGAACATCGATGCAAAAATCCTCAAGAAAATACTGGGAAACCGAATCCAGCAGAACTTTAAAAAACTTATCCACCATGATCAAGTGGGCTTCATTCCTGGGATGCAAGTCTGGTTCAACATACACAAATCAATAAACGTAATCCATCACATAAACAGAACCAATGACAAAAACCACGTGATTATCTCAATAGAGGCAGAAAAGACCTTTGATAAAATTCAACACTGCTTTATGCTAAAAACACTCTATAAACTAGGTATTGATGGAACATATTTCAAAATAATAAGAGCTATTTATGACAAACCCACAGGCAATATAATACTGAATGGGCAAAAACTGGAACCATTCCCTTTGAAAACGGGCAAAAGACAAGGATGCCCTCTCTCACCACTCCTGTTCATCATAGTATTGGAAATTCTGGCCAGGGCAATCAGGCAAGAGAAAGAAATAAAGTGTATTCAAATAGGAAGAGAGGAAGTCAAAATGTCTCTGTTTGCAGATGACATGATTGTGTATGTAAAAAACCCCATCCTCTTAGCTCAAAAACTCCTTAAGCTGATGAGCAACTTCAGCAAAGTCTCAGAATACAAAATCAATGTGAAAAATCACAAGCATTTCTATACACCAATAATAGAGAGCCAAATGATAAGCAAACTCCCATTCACAATTGCTACAAAGAGAATGAAATACCTAGGAATACAACTTACAAGGGATGTGAAGGACCTATTCAAGGAGAACTACAAACTGCTGCTCAAGGAAAAAGAGAGGACACAAACAAATGGAAAAACATTCCATGCTCATGGATAGGAAGAATCAATATTGTGAAAATGGCCATACTCCCCAAAGTAATTTATAGATTCAATGCCATCCCCATCAAGCTACCACTGACTTTCTTCCCCAAATTAGAAAAAAAAACTATTATAAATTTCATATGGAACCAAAAAAGAGCTCACATATTGAACACAATCATAAGTAAAAAGAACAAAGCTGGAGGCATCACGCTACCTGACTTCAAACCATGCAAGGCTACAGTAACCAAAACAGTATGGTACTGATACCAAAACAGATATATAGAGCAATGGAACAGAACAGAGCCCTCAGAAATAACACCACACATCTACAACCACCTGATCTGTGATGAACCTGACAAAAACAAGCAGTAGGGAAAGGATTCCCTATTTAATAAAGGGTGTTGGGAAAACTGGCTAGCCATATGCAAAAAACTGAAACTGGACCCCTTCCTTACACCTTGTACAAAAATTAACTCAAGATGGTTTAAAGATTTAAACGTAAGACCTAAAACCATAAAAACCCTAGAAGAAAATGTAGGCAATGCCATTCAGGACATAGGCATGGGCAGAGACTTCATGACTAAAGTACCAAAAGCAATTGCAACAAAAGCCAAAATTGACAAATGGGATCTAATTAAACTAAAGAGCTTCCACACAGCAAAAGAAACTATCATCAGAGTGAACAGGCATCCTACAGAATGGGAGAAAATTTTTGCAATCTATCCATTTGACAAAGGGCTAATATCCAGAATCTACAAGGAACTTAACCAAATTTACAAGAAAAAACAACCCCATCAAAAAGTGGGCAAAGGATATGAACAGATGCTTTTCAAAAGAAGACTTTTATGCGGCTAACAAACGTATGAAAATAAGCTCATCATCACTGATCATTAGAGAAATGCAAATCAAAAACACAATGAGATACCATCTCACGCCAGTTAGAATGGCGATCATTAAAAAGTCAGGAAACAGCAGATGCTGGAGAGGATGTGGAGAAATAGGAATGCTTTTACACTGTTAGCGGGAGTGTAAATTAGTTCAACCGTTGTGGAAGACAGTGTGGCGACTCCTCAAGGATCTAGAACTAGAAATACCATTTGACCCAGCAATCCCATTACTGGGTATATACCCAAAGAATTATAAATCATGCTGCTATAAAGACACATGCACACATATGTTTATTGTGGCACTATTCACAATAGCAAAGATTTGGAGTCAACCCAAATGCCCATCAGTGTTAGACTGGATAAAGAAAATGTGGCACATATACATCATGGAATACTGTGCAGCCATAAAAAAGAATGAGTTCACACCCTTTGAAGGGACATGGATGAAGCTGGAAACCAGCATTCTCAGCAAACTAACACAGGAACAGAAAACCGAACACCTCATGTTCCCACTCATAAGTGGGAGTTGAACGATGAGAACATATGGGCACAGGGAAAGGAACATCACACACTGGGGCCTGTCGGGAGTGGGGGACTAGGGGAGGGATAGCATTAGGAGAAATACCTAATGTAGATGATGGGTTGATGCGTGCAGCAAATCCACCATGGCACACGTATACACATGTACACGTAACAAACCTGCATGTTTTGCACATGTGTCCCAGAACTTCAAGTATAATAAAAAAAGAAAGAGAAAGAAAGAAGAAAGAAGAAGAAAGAAAAGAAAGAAAGAAAAAGAAAGAAAACAAAGAAAGAAAGAAAGAAAGAAAAGAAAGAAAGAAAGAAAGAAAGAAAGAAAGAAAGAAAGAAAGAAAGAAAGAAAGAAAGAAAGAAAGAGAAAGAAAGAAAGAAAGACTTTTCCATCCTACTGAGAGAAAGGATTGGACAAATCAATTTATTTGCCATTTCTCTTACCAAAGATCTACCACTGTTCAAAACTGGACCCATCCTCTGAAGTAGTGTCAATCTCAGATGTTGGCAGCAGCAAAATCCTCAAGCTGTCATTGCATTTGGCCACAGTCACATTTTGTTTCAAGGACATAGGTAAAACGATGCAGAGAGCCTACTATCATGCTCCTATACCTAGCAGATCAATGCATACACTTCTGATTAAATATGTTTCACTTTTATTCACAATACACACAAAATAATCCCCAAATATTACACCCTGGCTTCACTTACAAACATAGTTAATAGCTGAACCTAACAATGTCTACTTATTTTACTACTTTTTCTTTCTGATTAGCCCTAGCCATTATAGACAGTATTAGAAAAACTACCAAAATGGTTAAAAGACCTAGGAGAGTTAAAAGTCATTAATTTCAGTTTTTAAGAAAATTAATGCTACTTAATATTTTATTTACTTGAAAAAAAGGATTAAAATGATACTCTGCTTAGAAGGATGAAATAATAAGTTACTCATTCATTAAACAATTAGCTGACAGATTTAGCACTCACAATGTAATGATTTGCTGAATGACTTTTCCTAATATGTTTAAGTCTCTTAGAAAATTCTTTTCACTATTTTTCTATGTCACAGAAGGTAGTCATTTTGTGTCTAATAAAGAGGGAGAAATTATATTGTTGTAAGACTCAATGCTGTTATTATCTATTTTTAAGTTCCAGCCAAACCAGCTGAAAGATATTAAAAATAAATTACTAGCATGCAGGTATCATAGGTAGATATTGTGCTATCACCAAAAGATAATGGACAAATGGCAGATGAAATGCACAGTAGATAAGGTGCTATTCGTAACACTGAACATGCTTCCTGATAAATCATATACTGTCTAATTAAGACAACAGAAATGTGCACACTGAGACACAAGCTTGTCTAGTATCTATCATGTGAGGATGGGTATTATTTAATTTATTATGCCTTTACTAAATAATTAAGCTATTTTAGTTTTAAATAACTTGTATATTTTAATCAAGGCAATGGGATACGTTGTTATAATTCTGGTTGTGAAAGCAGCCATGGATTGTGTGCAGTTGATATTCATTAAGGCTTTATTGGTTTATCAGCCCAAATTTCTCTGATATGTCAGCCACCTCTTTCTTTACCTTTCTAGTCATGTGCATCATATTCCTTTTTCAGACATCATTTCTGTACCTCTGTAAGAGTCACCCTGGAAGTTCTTATTTTTCTACCCAATTTCTGATATTAAAATGTTATATTTTAGTAAAAGAAAATGCTCACACTTTTTAGTAAGCATTTAAAATGTTTGTATGGTTTGCATTGTTATTAATTCAATAAACATTGGTAAAGTACACACCAGGTAGCATTCCTACTGCTAGGGATTCATTGACAAAAGAGGAAGACCCCCATGTAAATAATCTTCACCAGGGGGCAGGTGTTAACTGATGTGAATTCAAGAATCAGTTTTCAGAAATCAGGCTGATCTTTTTAACTGATCAGAATTTAAAGTGACAGTGAGAGGAGTTTTAGTAAGGGAGGGACTTTATAGATAGAGGCAGTTTAATGATCCAGAGGTTCAAGAATGTGGTACAGGTGAGTTTTGCAGGTAGTTCAGTAGGCCTGCCTGGCCAAGAGTGGGCAAGTGACACAGGATGGGGCTAGAGAGGCCACTGTGTAATAGATTATAAGAGGACTGTTGGTAACTCCACACTTCTTGTATACAGACTACAGAAAGGTAAACATTGCATATGCTCCTTGAACATCAAGTTAAATTAAAGTATTAAAAGAGAAATATTTAAATGAGCTTTGAAGAAGTTTGGCCACATACACTTAAAATCAAAAGAAGAGACTCATTTTCCATGTTAGTCAATCTGTGTCTGCTTATGTATCTTTTTGTGATTGTGTGTATATGAAGGTAATTGCTGAGAATAGAAAATCTAATGAAATATCTACCTACATGTTGATGTGATTTGGGGTTTTTACTATATTGTGACAAATGTAACACTTAAGTTATGATTATATATATATCAGGCACCGCTCTAAGTCTTTTGCAAATATTAACTCTTTAATCTTTGTAACAACCCTCTAAAGTAAGGACTATTATTATTTGATTTTATTCTTTAGGAAACATAGCCTCAGGGGAGTTAGTAACTTGCCTATGTGACCACACAGTGTAAGTTTACATAAGAATTATCCAGAATGCACATTTAAATGGCAGTTCCTTGGATCCCACCAGCAGGGATTCTTACTCATGAAGTCAGATATAGAGCTCAGAAAATGTCATACTTAAGAACCCAAAATGATTGTGATGGATGTAATCCAAGAATATTATTTTGACAAATAGTGTTGTGAAACTTTTAACAATATCAGTGGTCCCCAACATTTCTGGCACCAGAAAGACAATTTTTCCTTGCATGATGGGGATGGGGGATGGTTTCAGGATGATTCAAGCACAGTACTTTTTTTGTGCACTTTGTTTCTATTATTATTACATTGTAATTTATAGTGAAATAATTATACAACGCACCATCAGGCAGACTCAGTGGGAGCCCTGAGCTTGTTTTCTTGCAACTAGTTGCTCCCATCTAGGGGTGATGGGAGACAGTGACAGATCATCAGTTATTAGATTCTCATAAGGAGCGTGCAACCTAGATCCGTCACATGCGCAGATCACAATAGGGTTCCCATTCCTATGAGAATCTAATGCTGCAGGAGATCTGACAGGAGGTGGAGCTCAGACAGTAAAGCCACTGGTGGGGAGTGACTGTAAATACGGATGAAGCTCCAGTCGCCTGTCTGCTGCTCACCTCCTGCTGTGTGGCCCAGTTCCTAACAGGCCGTAGACTTGTACTAGTCCACAGTCCAGGTGTTGGGAACCCCTGCTCTATATGCTATCAGGCTGTCTAATCATAACTAACAGAATTTCTACGAAGAGAAAACCTATAGAGAATTTGCAATGTATTTAATAAAAACTCAGGACATCTTCCAGTACTGGAGGGATAAAAAAGTTTTCTAATTAAAAGGTCCAACAAGTATTGTGTAAGGAGACTGTAAAAAGACATATATTTATGAAATTCTCACTTTTATTATGCTCGCAGATATCAGGTTGGCTCAGGCTTATATCTTTATAATTTCTATGTTTTCTTCTAGGATGTGATTCCAATAAATAAACCAGGGCACCTGCTGGTTCTCAATACATACTTGAGATCCTAACAACTTGGAAGAAGAAACAAAAATGTCTTCAAAGGAACAAGAATTTGGCATTTCATTGACAACTCTGGAACACGGAATACAACAAGACATGTCTTCAGAATTCTTAGATGTATTTTCAACTTTGAATTCTATACTGAAACTATGAACCCTGAGGGCAGAAAAAGTATTCAAGAACTCAGGAAGTATCTCCAAAAACCCACACAGAATATTACTCAAAGATCTGCTGGTGGCAGATGATGGCATAAACCAAGAAAGAAGAAGCACTGAGTCCAAAATGGTAGTGACAGAAATGAGTGCAGCTGATCTTGAGTGTGATTAGCCAGGTTAAAGTAGGCCAAAGGAAAATTCTGGAAAGAGATATCTAAGAGAGACGTGTCCAGGAAAAAGAGAACTTGATGTATAAATAATTTTAAAAACTGAAAAAAGTGAGGAAAACAAATGCAAGTTATGGGACAGATAAAAGACTGGCAATAAGTAATTCCAGGGAGAGTACAACCCAGTGTACCAATTGGTAAATAATATTAAATTATATAATACAAACACTGCTTACAGATGTTTCACTTTTAAAATCAATCCATTGGCAGATTTAATAATGGATGCAGAAGAATTAAATGGCTTCGCATTTATTTTAACAAAGTGAAAGTAAGACTTTTGGAGGTAGAAGAAGGAGAGCTGGGGAAAGATATTTTCTCATTTCATAGAGAAAGGCTTCAGAACATGCCCACGTGATGGACAATATATAAAGGTAAATGTTTATTATTTAAATAATAATGCTATATTAGGCAGTGTGAACTAAATACTTACTATAATAATAATGTGAGTTACTAGTGTAAAAATCAAGAATAAATAAAAAGTGATAAAACATAATTTAGAAATGTGAATATAATCATCAGATATAAATAATAAATAATTAAAATAATTAAATAGATTTCCTTTAGGTTGCAGGACTGCAAATTGGGAATGGTGAGGGTTTTTTTTCCCCTACAAATCCTTTATTAATTGCATTTTATATGTGTGAGTATATTAAAAATTTAAAAACTAAATTAAACAACATAAGTAGTAAAATAATACATAGCTTATAGAAATAAAAATAAAATTTTAATGCCAATTTAATGTAAAAGTAGAATTTCCAGGCATTTCGAAGATGCTTATAGCTTCCTTTTTCTGTATTCTCTTATTATCAAGTCTCCCTAGACATAATATAGTTAAACAGTTTTCATCTCTTTTCTCAAAGCTGGATTCTTAGGAGCAATTTGTACAAAATGATCCTGAGTATCCCAGTCTTCTTATGTATGTTGTCTTTTTAAAGATACAATGCAGGTCAATTCAGGCTTTTGATTTACAACGCCCACTTCTCTGCTAGTTTGAGTTTCCAACTTAGTAGTACAGGACAACTGTCAGTTCCTAGAAAATATAAGCCTTACATTTTGTTCTAAGGCCTGAATTTTTCTCTTAACTATTAAAATTTATTTTAAACATAACAGCTTAGAGTAACTTAAATTCATGCTGTTAAACATACACACACAGTCAAAATCTGATAAGGCACATGTATTTAATTTCAGTGACTCTGACATCTACTCTGTTCTTCATGAAGATGATGAATGGTACATTATAGCTCTTTTGTACAAATATTTGGTTTTGGTCCCCTTGAAAATGACCTTAAAATCACCTGGGGCTATTGTTAAAAATGCACACATGCCCACTGCATCCTCAGTCTTACTAAATCAAGAATAGCAATCTCGATGAGTAATTCGATTAGTGATCTCGATTAGTAATTCCTGCAGAGCACAGGAATCAATTTCAATGAAAAATTTTCTCTGTGATTTTTCAATATTTTTAAATGTTTCCAAATCTTTAGTGCCCCCTCTGCAAAGTCCGGACTTGTCTCTTAGTTTGAACTTTAGTAAAATGTAAAGCTTAAGAACAGCATTAGAATTGTTCCCATTCGTTCAATTGATCCACTCAACACATATAATATGCATCTTCTAACTGTGGGCACTGTCCTGAGTCCTGGACACATGAACTAACAAAAGAGCTCGCCTTAGGAGTGAGGCAGGGTCTTAGGCATATCAGAGAGGACATTCATGACTTATGTTGGCAAGTTTAATATGACATATAAGTGAATATTAATTTCTCCATTGCACCCTTTGTGAGTTTCTGAGAAAATAAATAACATATATATGTGTGAATTACAAATACAAATATATATCCCTTGAATGGCCTAGGGTAAACAGATAAAAGTTGTTGTTTGTTAGAGTAAAATCCTAACTGAACAAATGGGGTAATTTTATATGCATTGTACAATTCCAGATCAACTCTGGTAAACCTCACCAGGAGTAAGGATTTTTGTTGTTTATGTGTAAGATTGCCGATACATTTTATTTTATTTTGATGACAAAGCAACTTGGTTTTGACTACTGAATTGTTAAGTTTGCCTCTGCTATTTTCAATTCCTCTGTAATTTAGGGATTGTGAATATCAGTCAGAGAAAAACTGCAGTGGGACTTGAAGCCCTGATGTGCTGTTCGGTCAGACTTTTTTTTTTCCTGAATTTTAAAGATAGAGTTTCTCTATTGTAGGAAAACATATCTTAGTTATTTTTTATTTTAAATACATTCCTCTGGAGGAAGAACAAAAAGCAAAGCAAAGAAAAACAAAACATAGCTTTTTCTATGTTGTTTTATACTTAATATCTAAAGCTCTTCATGAAAGCAAGAAATTTTGACCTTAAGACTATTCCTGAATATATGTATTCTTGAATATAATATCATATATATTACACATATCTGTTATGAAAGCCCAAATAAACTGCACATCTATATCTATTCATACTGCCACTTGAATGAAAGCACATTCAAGGTAAAATGTTTCTTTGAATAAAAAAGCTTGGCAAATTCCATTGACTTTCAAGTTCTTTTTTTCTTTTCTTTCTCACCTTAACTCTTAAATAGCCATTTGCTTTGGTGATCATTTTACATTTAGCTCAGTATTGTCCATTTACTACCAGCCAATCAGCCATCCCATGACTATCAAGGGAAGTAAATGTCTTTTTATATATGTACTACCTGACACTAGTACCTGATATTTGTATGCAGTGAATGTTTTCTTAAAAAAGAATCAAACTAAATTAAATGGAACTCCCCACATAATGCTCCTTACCTCTACATTTTAATTTATCTCTTTCAAAAATGGTTTTGGGAAGAAAAACCATATGATCATCTCAATAGATGAAAAAAAAAGCTTTTGATAAAATCTAAGATCGCTTCATGATTAAAAACCATCAACAAACTAGGCATTGAAAGAAAATACCTCAAAATAATGAGTCACCTATGACGAACAGCCAACGTCACGCTGAACAGGCAAAAACTGGAAGCATTTCCCTTGAGAACTGGAATAAGAAAAGGATGGCCACTCTCATGACTCTTATTCAACATATTTCTGGAAGGAACAGCCAGAGAAATCAGGCAAGATAAAGAAATAAAAGGCATCCATCTAGAGAAAGAAGTCAAACTGTCTTCACAGGCAATATGATTCTATACCTACAGAAACCTACAGACTCTTCCCAAAGGCTCCTGTAACTGACAAATGACTTCAGTGAAGTTTCAGGATACAAACTCAGTGTACAAAAATCAGCATTTCAATGCATCAATAATATTCCAGCCAAATCAAGAATGCAATCCCATTTGCAATAGCACAAAAAAGTAAAACACCTAGGAATATATCTAACCAAGGAATTGAAACACCTCTACAAGGAGAACTACACTGCTAAAAGAAATCATAGATGACACAAATAAATAGAAAAACATTCCATACACATGGATTGGAACATCAATGTCATTAAAATGACCATACTGTTGAAAGCAATCTATAGATTGAACACTATTTCTACCAAACCACCAATGTCATTTTTCACAGAATTGGAAAAAGTGTACTAAAATGCCCATAGAATTAAAAAAGAGCCCAAATGACCAAAGCAATTCTAAGCAAAAAGAATGAAGCCGGAAGCATCACACTAAGTGACTTAAACTATACTATTAGGCTGCAATAACCCAAGCAGCATGGTACTGGTTTAAAAACAGACATATGGACCAATGGAACAGAATAGGCAGTCCAGAAATAAAGCTGCACATCTACAGCCTTCTGATCTTCCACAAAGTTGACAAAAATAAGCAATGGAGAAAGGACTCCCTACTCAATAAACGGTGCTGGGAAAGCTGGCTAGCCCATATGTAGAAGAATGAAACTGGACCCCTACATTTCACCATATACAAAAATTAACTCAAGTTAGATTAAAAATTTAAATGTAGGACCTCAAACTATAAGAATCCTAGGAGAAAACCTAGGAAACACCATTCTGGACATCAATCTTGGCAAAGAATTTATGATTAAGTCCTCAAAAGCAGCTGTAACAAAAACAAAAATTAACAAGTGGGACCTAATTAAAGAGCTGCATAGCAAAAGAAACTGTCAAAAGAGTAAATGGACAACCTATAGAATAGGAGAAATATTTGCAAACTATGCATCCCAGGGAGGTCTAATAGCTAGAATCTATAAGGAACTTAATGAACTAGCAAAAAACAAATAACCTTATTAAAAAATGGGCAGAAGACATGAAGTGACATTTTTAAAAATAAGACGTGCAATTGGCCAACAAACCCATGAAAAATGCTGCACATCACTAATCAGGGAAATGTAAATCAAAATCTCAATGAGATACTATCTCACACTAGGCTATGATTAAAAAGTCAGAAAACAACAGATGCTGGCAAGGCTGCAGATAAAAGGGAACATTATACACTGTTGGTGGAAATGTAAATTCAGCCATTGTGGACAGCAGTTTGAGGACTTCTCAAAGAACTTAAAACAGGACAACCATTTAATCCAGCAATCCCATTACTGGCTATATAGCCAAAAGAAAGCAGAACATTCTACCAAAAAGACATGTGCACTTGCATGTTCATCGCAGCACTATTCACAATGGCAAAGAAATAGAATCATACCAGGTGCCCATCAGTGGTGGATTGCATAAAGAAAATGTGGTATCTGTACACCATGGAATACTATAGATTCACAAAAAAGAACCAAGTCATGTCCTTTCCAGCAACATGGATGCAGCTAGAAGCCACTGTCCTAAGTAAATTAATGCAGGAACAGAAAACTAAATACCACATGTTCTCACTAATAAGTGAGAACTAAACATTGGGTACTCATGGACATAAAGATGGCAATAATAGACACTGGGAACCACTAGATGGGGAAAGGAATCGGGGAAAAGGTTGAAAAACTAAATGTTGGATACTATGCTCAGTACCT
The DNA here is from genome assembly GCF_000001405.40 of Homo sapiens. Classification (NCBI taxonomy): domain Eukaryota; kingdom Metazoa; phylum Chordata; class Mammalia; order Primates; family Hominidae; genus Homo; species Homo sapiens. Next base: position 87,639,126 of record NC_000003.12, on the reverse strand, counting down.
GTGTGATGGGATCATTTGTATCCCAAACCTCAGCATCATGTCATATACACAGGTAACAAACTTGCATATATACCCCCTGAATCTAAAATAAAAGTTGAAAAAATAAAAGCAAAATATTGGTGGGGGGGTATGAAGACTTCACTCCTGGTCACACATTTAATGTTGTAACATTTGATAGCATCAACAAGGAATTAACAACTTGCTTTGTCAAATGATCTGCTTTTATCACGACACCTCCTACAAGGAGAGCTGCATATTTTATAATGTTAAGAGTTTGAACATTGTAGATTTCATGAAAATAAGTTTCTAAAGCAAATTCAGTAATTTGGTCTCGTTAGAACATTTTAGCTTATATAAACCAATCATTGTTTTTATAAATCATCAAATGTATCTATGTATATAAATATATGTATATTTGTGTCATATATATCTATGTCTTGTGTAACTATATAAATGTAATTAGACATATAATATACATTGTTATGTTTAACCCAAAGGTAAATTCTTCTTTTATTTTTAAATATGCCAGGCTAGTCTTTTGAGATTCCACAAAATAATGTAGGGGTAATTCAATCATAACATTGAACACAGCCGACTGGTTTTAGAATATATGAGCATAGCTTTCTCATTATTCTAATTTCATTATTTCTTAATTGACCACATAAGAAAAAAGAACTGGCTTTGTTTCTTTTAAGTGATGAAATGTTAAATTTAAAGTTTTCTAAGACCTTACTGAGTTTAATTGCCTTTAGTTTCTTGTTCAAACTCAAAGTCAAAAAATAAAATATTTTCATAAAAAATATTTGTTCAGTGTACCAACTTGGTATGCTTTTGAAGTACTCTCCATGTCTACAGGCTGGTACAAATTACTCAGTAGCAGTCCCCACTTGCCTTAACAGGTAGCAGCAATTTGGCAAGAACTTTGAGGCAAAGGGGAAAAAAATTTATATTGAAAATAGTCTTGAATAAAACAACAAAATGCACCAAGTAATTGTGTATAGATCTTGACGTCAAAAGATACCTCCTTCTCCCGTTTTCATCCAATAAGTGTTATTAGTGGAGAAGGGGACAATGAAGTTAATTTTAATCTTTCTTTTTCATCCATAAAACTCCCCCTCAAATCTTTTTTGTGGAATCATATATTCTTTTAAATGAAGTCCACAGGCATGCATTAAAGAAACAGCCCAATTTGTGGCATAGATAATACAGAAGGATATTTTTATTTTCAAATGTTTCTTGCAGAGATGCCTTATTTGATCACTGGAGGCTTATTTAGCACATTCTTTGCATTCAGGTTTTGAAGAGTTGTTCCCTTTGGGAAACAAAGGATTGCAAAGCACAGTAATTGTGTGTTGTTTAGAACAGTTTAAGAGAAAGCCACTGAACAATTTTTGAGTAATCAGGAAACATCTACATCTACACTTACAAATTTGGTTTCTGTCTTCGAAAATCAACATCAGTGGAAAAAAACTTTTTCTGTAAAAATTGAAATAAAAAAATTACACTCTAATACTAAAGTTAATAAAAAATAAACACTTCTCAAATTTTGAAAATTCTTCCATGTCTTAAGGATTAAAAATAATCTTCCCCACAAAAACAGTTTCTATCATATTATTCCCATGCTTAAATATCTTCAATGCCTCTGTTAAATAATATTCTTATGAAGCATAACATTTATAAAATCCTATTAAATGGTGGGTATAGTTTTATATATAAGCTTTCTTATTAGTTTTCTATATAAGCTTTCAAAATTCTTCAAATAAGTTACAGGTACTGTTTTTGATTAAAAGAAGGGAGAGGGTGAGAAACAGAGCTAGAGAGAGAGTGCACTGACTCGGACTTGCTTTTTTTTTTTTTTTTTTTGAGACGGAGTCTCGCTCTGTCGCCCAGGCCGGACTGCGGACTGCAGTGGCGCAATCTCGGCTCACTGCAAGCTCCGCTTCCCGGGTTCACGCCATTCTCCTGCCTCAGCCTCCCGAGTAGCTGGGACTACAGGCGCCCGCCACCGCGCCCGGCTAATTTTTTGTATTTTTAGTAGAGACGGGGTTTCACCTTGTTAGCCAGGATGGTCTCGATCTCCTGACCTCATGATCCACCTGCCTCGGCCTCCCAAAGTGCTGGGATTACAGGCGTGAGCCACCGCGCCCGGCCGGACTTGCTTTTATAAGTTAGTTTGTCATAGTGGTTTCTGTCAATAAATATGGATCTACCCCGTTTTTAAAAAATTCCGTCGTATGAATGTATCATAACTGTTTTAACCATTGCTTTATTAACAATTACCTGCTCTTTTTTCCCCACAATTTTAAATAATATTGTCAAAAAAAAACCACTGCCCATTGAACAAATGCCCACTCCTTAGTCTTCCTTGTCATGCTTCCCATCATATATTTATTGGCTTAATTTTTCCTGTTTACTTATGTACATCAAATGTTTGGGTCAAACTGATTTAACCACTATCATTGCGCACATACTATTGATGCAGGATTTTTTTCTTCTTAGTTCAGCTAAAATCCAGGTTCTTGACTCATGACCAGGAAAAGTGCGGGACGCAGACACACTGAAAGGCGAGGAGGGCGGAATTTATTAAGCAAAAGGAAAGCTCTCAACAAAAAGAGGGGTCCTGGACGCAGGTTTTCTACCTCACAAAAATTGAATACCAGCCACCCATCATGTGCTGAAGAGGCTCGGCTCCTCCCCTGGATAAGGCACCAATTCCTCCTGGCTCCACCCCATTCTTCCAGTGCACACGTGGGCCCCTAGTCTGAGCCACTCCACATTGATTTATTTCCCTTACTGCGCAAGTGTTAAGGGACGGGATTTTTCACCATGGGCACGTTTAGGCAAACCCCCTGTGCACAATGACCGGGACAGCATTTGTCTGTCTCTTGCCTCTATCACTATTATCTCAGTCATTGCTTGCACCAAATATTCAGCTCAACTGGGAATTGCCTTCCTGATGTACCTTTCTACCTTTACTAAAATTGCGTGCATTTGTCAGGTTTCATTTCTATTTCATCTGGCCAGCAGTGATTGCTTCCTCTTCTGTAACACATAGTTCTTTGCACTATGCATGACTCAGTTATATGATATAAGATATATTAGTTTATGTACATAAATATATCATTTTTCTTGCTAACTATAGATCCTTTAAGGGCATATGATTAACTCTTGAGTTTCTAGCATAATTGAATAGTTTCTACTCATGGAAGATGCTCTAAATTATAAAATTGAGAGAGTATTAACTCTCTGATTTCCTTCTTAGTCAGAGGTAATATTTAAAAATCTTAAAAATTATAACAACATACAGGCATTGACAAATCAGAATCATTGTTAACCATAGTATTGCAACAAGTTCCTGCAGCCTCCTTGGAGAATCAAGTATTTCTCTTTTAGTGTTTGATGATGGGGAGATTTGAGGTTCCGGAGAAGGACCTGGCAGCCATGATCATTGGGAAGATAGTTTAGGACTCTACCTAATAATAAAGGCAGAATGAAACTATTTCAACATTTTAACAATAGGCCTTACAGGTGAGTAATATATAAATGTTAATCCTTTTTTTTTTTTTTTTTTGAGACGGAGTCTCGCTCTGTCGCCCAGGCTGGAGTACGGTGGCGAGATCTTGGCTCACTGCAAGCTCCGCCTTCCGGGTTCACGCCATTCTCCTGCCTCAGCCTCCTGAGTAGTTGGGACTACAGGCACCTGCCACCACGCCTGGCTAATATTTTGGGTTTTTAATACAGATGAGGTTTCACCGTGTTGGCCAGGATGGTCTCGATCTCCTGACCTCGTGATCCACCCGCCTGGCCTCCCAAAGTGTTGGGATTACAGGCCTGAGCCACCGAGCCCGGCCAATCCTATTTTTTATATGTAAAAATATCACCGTGATCAATAAGAACTTTTGGAGGCAGATGTCACAGAATGAGAGATATTTGAATTGTTTATTGAAAGATAAATAGGAATGTGTCATTAAACAAGGATAAAGAGTAGTTAGTACTGAGCTTTCCAGATAAAACACTCAAGAGCAAAATAATTAGAAAATTCTTAAAGAATAGTGTAAACTTCAATTTAGCTGGAATGTGGGGGGAGTTGGAGGTGATTGGAAGAGATTCTAGATAGGTTTGTATGTCATAAAGCATAATTCAGACTTTAGCATGTGAGCATGGAACTCTAGGAGTTTTCTAAGTCAGAGAATGAAGTGAGTGGGTTTGTGTTTTGGAAAGGGACCAGTAATCAAAGGCAGTGTGCGGGAAGTCATGGGTGAGGCCTTACGGGAACTAGGAATATTACATTACTATTTACATTGATCAAATAAGAGTTGATAAGTGTCTGAACCAAGACAATGGGGGAAATAGGGAAGACAGGTGGAGAGAATTAATGCATTAAAAGATATTTAGAAGGTAAGATCCATAGGACTTTATCAGTGACTGGCTGTGGAACAGGTGAAAGAAGGAGAAGAATGGAATGGCACATTTCCAGCTTTTAATGGATGATGATGTCATTAAGAGAGATAAGGCATATGAAAAGAGAAGGTTTGAACCGAGCAGCATTCACTACTATTTGAAGAAGGAATGGAAGAAACTAATATGATCTAACTGTAGAATAAAGTGACCCAATACAAGTTAAAATAGAAAAAGTATTCTGTTAATATAAATGGAAATGTATGAATAATTTCATCTATATGTTCCTTTGTAGATTTTTGTACTTTGAGAGTGTGTTAATTTTAGTTGCTGAAGACTTTCTGTATAAATAACATTCAGAGTGTGATTGCAATGCTGAAGATTTTATGCAGTCTAAATTATTTATTTGACTGATATTTGTTATATGTGCCTCTTTTCTAATTAGAGGTGAAAAATAAAACAATTTGTATTAGTCTGTTCTCATACTGCTAATAAAGACCTACCTGAGACTGGGTAATTTACTAAGGAAAGAGGTTTAATTGACTCACAGTTCCACATGGCTGGGGAGGTCTGACGATCATGGCGGAAGGGAGAAGGGAGCAAAGGCAGCAAAGGCACATCTTCCATGCTGGCAGGCGAGAGAGAGAGAGAGGGGGAGGGGGAGGGGGAGGGGGAGGGGGAGGGGGAGAGAGAGAGAGGGGGAGAGAGGGGGAGAGAGGGGGAGAGAGGGGGAGAGAGGGGGAGAGAGGGGGAGAGAGGGGGAGAGGGGGAGAGGGGGAGAGGGAGAACTCCCCTTTATAAAACCATCTAATCTTGTGAGACTTATTCGGAGAACAGCACGGGAAAACCCACCCCTGTGATTTGATTGCCTCCCACTGGGTCTCTCCCATGACACGTAGGGACTGTGGGAGCTACAATCTGGGTGGGGACACAGCCAAACCACATCGCAATTCTTGCAATTGAGTATGCCACAAATGATACAAGTACAAAGTATTTTCATCCAGCATTAACATCCTAAAGATGAATAAAGCGGTACCATGTCTGATTGGTAAATCAAAGAGGAACTCATGAGTGAAACTTAATCAAAGTCTAGTGGGCTGATTGGTGGCCTCGCTGAAAATACATCCATGTCCTAACTTCTGGAATGTGTAATTGAAGGATGTTTGCAGTTGTAATTAAGTTAGAGATTTTGAAATGAAGATGTGAGGAGATGCTAGATTATCCAGATAGATTCTAAATCCAGTGACAAGTGTCCTTACAAAAGAAACACCCAAGGGAAGGAAGCGATGTGACTCTGAGGCAGAAACTGGAGTGATGTGGACACAAATCAAAGAATATGACAAACCACCAGAAGCTGAAAGAGGCAAGGAATGGATGCTCCCATACATCCCCCAGAGGTAGTGGAGCTCTGCCAACACCTAAATTTCAGACTTCTGGCCTCCAAAACAGTGAGAGAATAACTTTCTGTTGTTTTAAGTGACCAAGTTTGTAGTAATTTGTTATAGCAATCACTAGAAAATAAATACTAAGCTTTTTGGGTAAAAGTCTAAATATCTAGGGCCAAGATAGGTGTTAAATAATTATTCTGTGGGCAGTAGAAAAAAACAGAGTTATTTGAACCAAGTAGGACTCATTTGCATGTAATCTAAAGAATTAATATTACAATGTATAATTGTCTTGTTATCTCACTTTGCTTAGGAAGGGATTGAATGAAAACTCACTTCTATTACTTGAGGTTATCCTTTTGTTCCCTAAGAACATGGTTTTTTTTAATGCTCAGGGATGAGGCTCAGGGGTGATAAGGGATTTTCATGAGCAGGATTTCTCTAGAAACAAACAAAAGATTAGGCTGAAATATTCATGAAAGGTTGGCATGAAAAAGCACAAAAACAAGCAGAAAATAGAAATAATCTACAATTCAAAGCAAATAAAAATACATTTTGCATGTGATGCCATTTTTTATGAAATCATATTTGTGAATATCATAACACAGAGGATACAGCCTAATGAGTTACACACCACTGGACTTGATCTTTTTAGTTCAAAGATTTAGCTCCATTCCTTTTTTTAGTATTAATTTTTTGAATTTGTAACTGACAATAATTATATATTTACAGGATACATGTAATGTTTCAGTGCATGAATACATTATATAATGATCACATTAGGGTAATTATCATATCCATCACTTTAAATTTTTATCATTTCTTTGTGGTGATAACATTGGAACTCTTCTCTTCTGGCTATCTTAAAATATGTATCACATTTTTATTTGCTATAGTCACTCTACTGGGTAATAGAACACCAGAACGAATTCTTCCTAATTGTAACTTTGTACCTGCTGAGTAATCTCTCCTTGTTCCCTTCCCCACTACCTTTCCCAGCCTCTGGTAACAACTATTGTACTATTTCTATGAAATCAACTTTTTTTAGATTCCACACACAAGTAAGATTATGTGGTGTTTCGTGTTTGTTTTTCTGTGTTTAGATTATATAACACGATGTCCTCTGGGTTCATTCATGTTATTGCAAATGACAGGATTTCATTTGTTTTATGGCTGAATAGTATTCCATTGTGTGTATATATATATCATATACACATATATATCATATATGTAACATTTTCTTCTTTTTAATTTAAATTCTGGGATAAATGTGCTGAATGTGCAGGTTTGTTACGTAGGTATACATGTGCCATGGTGGTTTGCTGCACCTATCAACCCATCATCTAGGTTTTAAGCCCCGCATGCCTTAGGTATTTGTCCTAATGCTCTCCCTCCCCCTTTCCCCCAACCCCCAATATATCACATTTTCTTTATCCATCCATCTATTGATGGACACTTAGGTTGCTTTCACATCTTGACTATTGTGAATAGCATGGCAATAAGCATGGCAGTGAAGATATCTCTTCAGCATACTGATTTCCTTTTTTTGGATATATACCCAATGATGGGATTATTGAATCATATGGTAATTCTATTTTTAATTTTTTGGGGAACATCCATACTGTTTATTTACAGTATAATTTACATTCCCACCAACAGTGTAAAGAGTTCTCCTTTCTGGTGGAGGTACTTCTGGCAGCAGAAACTCGAGTTGCCAAGGCAAGATGGGTCAAAGTCAGAGTGGTGGTTATGGTCCTAGAGGTGGCAAGAAGGATGACAAGGACAATAAAAAGAAATATGAACCTCTTGTACCAATTATAGGGGAGGAAAAGAAGGAGAAAACAAAAAGACCAGATGCTGCCAGCAAACTGCCACTGGTGATACCTCACATTCAATGCCAGTTAAAATTATTGAAATTAGTGAGAATGAAAGACTCTATTCTCATGGAGGAAGAAGCCATTAGAAATCAGGAACAGATAAAACCATTAGAAGAAAAGCATTAGGAGGGAAAAGCAAAAGCGGATGACCTGAGGGGGACCACTATGACACTAGAAACCTTGGAAGAGATCATTGATGGCAGTCACACCATTGTGTCTAGATATGCGGGGTCAGAACACTACATCAGCTTTCTTTTATTTGTAGACAAGGATCTGTTGGAACTGGCTTCTTGGTCCCGCTCAACCGCAAGTTGAATACCATGAAAAGGGTGCTGATGAATGACACAGATTCCTTAGTCACAGTGATGAAGGTGGAAATGGTCCCCAGGAGACCTATGCCAGTATTGGTGGTTGGACAACCAAATCCAGGAAATTAAGTAAGAGATCTGTGGAGCTTCCTCTCACTCATCCTGAATATTATTAAGAGATGGGTTTAAAGCCAGATAAGGGGGTCATTCTCTATGGTCCATATGCCCCAGGTAAAACCTTGTTAGCCAAAGCAGTAGCATGTCAAACCTCAGCCACTTTCTTGAGGGTGGTTGGTTCTGAACTTATTCAGAAGTACCTTGGTGATGGGCCCAAACTCACATGGGAATTGTTTTGAGCTGCTGAAGAATATGCACCTTTCATCATGTTTATTGATGAAATTGATGCCATTGGGAAAAACTATGACTCAAATTTTGGTGGTGAGAGAGAAATTTAGTGAACAATGTTGGAACTGTTGAACCAGTTGCATGGATCTGATTCAAGGGGAGATATTAAAGTTATCATAGCCACAAACCAAATAGAAACTTAGGATCCAACACTTACCAGGCCAGGCTACATTGACAGGAAGACTGAGTTCCCCCTGCCTGATAAAAGGATGAAGAAGTACATTTTTCAGATTCACATGAACAACACGACTTTGGCCAGTGATGTAACCCTGGACAACTTGATTACGGCCAAAGATGACCTCTTTGGTGCTGACATCAAGGCAGTCTGTACAGAAGGTGATCTGATGACCTTAAGAGAAAGTAGAATGAAAGTAACAAATGAAGACTTCAAAAAAACATAAGAAAATATTCTTTATAAAAAATAAGGGCACCCCTGAGGGGCTCTATCTCTAGTAAACCACAGTTGCCATCAGAAAAATAGTTGGGAGATATCCTGAGCCCTAAAAGGGATGAGGTTGGAGAAGTTGCCCAGAGGAATCCATTTTCTAGTTGATTTTTATTAGCAAAACCCCCTGTGTGTCTTTTGGAGTATGATGTAAAAAATGCCTACTGGGCAGCCTTCATCTGTTGCTCACTGTATAGCCCTCTGCTTCCCAATAAAGCGTGCTCTTACACACGCACACACACACACACACACACACACAAAGTTTCCCTGTGTTCAAATCCTAGTCAGCATTTGTTATTTTTTGTCTTTTTGATAGTAGACATTCTGACTAAGGTGAGATGATGTTTTGTTGTGGCTTTGATTTGCATTTCCCTGACCATTAGTACTGTTGAGCATTTGTTTATATACCTGTTGGTCATTTGTATGTTTTCTTTTAGGAAATATCTATTCAGGTCTTTTTCATATTTTTATATCAGAGTATTTGATTTTTTGCTATTGAGTTTTTTAGTTTCTTATATATTCTGAATTTTAAATCCTTGTCAGATGCCTAGTTTGCAGATATTATCTCCCATTCTGTAGGTTGTCTCCTCACTCTACTGATTGTTTTCTTCGTTGTGTAGAAGCTTGTTAGTTTGATGTAATCCCATTAGCCTATTTTTGCTTTTGTTATGTGGTCTTTTGAGATCTGAGTAAAAAAATTTTTGCTCAAATTTCAAGGAGAATTTACCCTATGTTTTCTTCTTGTAGTTTCATAGTTTTACTTCTGACATTTAAGTCATTAATCTACTTTGAGTTGATTTTTGTATACAGTGAGAGGTAGAGGTCTTGTTTCATTCTTCTGCAAATAATTATTCAGTTTTCCCAACATTATTTATTGAAGAGACTGTTCTTTCTTCAGTGTGTGTTCTTGGCACTTTTTTGAAAATCAATTGGCTATAAATGCATGGAATTATTTCTGGATTCTCTATTCTATTCCATTGGTCTATGCATCTGTTTTTATGCCAGTAGCATGCTGTTTTGTTTACTATAGCTTTGTAGTATATTTTAAAGTCAGGTAGTATGATGTCTCTAACTTTATTTTTTTTGCTCAAGATTATTTTTGCTATCTGGGGTATTTTGCATTTTATATACACTTTAAGATTGTTTTTTCTATTTCTGTAAAGAATGCCATTGGTGTTTTGTTAGGGATTGTATTGACTCTGTAGATTGTTTTGGGTAATATGGACATTTTAGCAATATTAATTCTTTCAATCCATGAACATGGGATATCTCACAATTTATTTGTATTCTCTTCAATTTGTTTTATCAATGTCTCATAGTTTTTGTTGTAGAGCTCTTTCACTTCCTTGGTTATGCTTATTTCTAGGTATTTTATCTTATTTTTTACACTATTTTAAATGAATTTTTATTTTTTTTCAAATAGTACTATTATTGGTGTATTGAAATACTACTGAGTTTTGTGTATTGACTTCGTATCCTGCAACTTTACTTAATTCATGTATTAGTTCTCACAGCTTTTTGGTGGAGTCTTCAGGGTGTTTTATATATATGATTATGCCATCTGCAAACAGGGACAATTTTACTTGCATAAATTCAATGATGTGCTAATGCTTTAAAATAAGATAATAGCAATAGAAATATTTGGTCATATTAAGTTGATTAAAATGTAGAGGAAAGAACTCAGATTCAGATAGGTAAAAGCAAGTCTCTTTCCACAATGAACTCTCTATAAAATTAATTACACATCAACTGTAAATCTTTTTGGACTACCAATTACAGACTATGCTTAACCTATTGAAAGGATAAAAGTGTGCCTAATGTAGGAAGTAATCATTTGCATATCAATGTATAATTATTAAATGCCATTTACTAAATATTTAAAATATAGGTTTAATTAAAAATGTAGTTGGAGCTAATTTTATATAGAAAAAATGTAATAAAATTTGTAATTTATCCTAAAGGACATGGTTAGAGTAATGATTTTATTTTCCCAAGTGTCAATTTGAACAATAATTATTTAAGCCCAGATGTAGCCCAGTAGTGAAACAGGAGAGGCTCCCTTGTCCCCCTCGCAGGGCATGTGATGGGGGTGTGGCTTGCTTTTTTAGTGCCCTGCTGCTTAAACCTCTAGAAGAGCATACAGATGGGCAGGCTAAGGGGCTCTGACCCAATGGCAGTGACTAGGGGTGAATGTTTACAACTGAAGCTCCAGTGGGCATGTGCTACAGGGTACTCTTTTAGTTTGCAGTGTATAGGCAGCTTGTGTGAACCAGCTCAATTAGGCCCTCTACCTTGTCTCAATGACAGAGGGCTTTCTGTATCCTGGGTTTTTGCCTTGGTGTATGGAAAGAATAGGATCACACGTGCACTTGGAGAACCAGGGCAAAGTTTAACTGAGTGGAAGTAGCTCTCCGCTGACTGGGGAGCCAGAAGGGAGATAATTTCTCCTGGAATTGGGCAGCTCAGCGGCCCCAGGTCTCCTCCGACTGCCCTCACCAAACTGCCTTGCTCCCTGGGTTATGGCCTGCCAGGCTGCTAGTGCCTGTTGGCATGTTCTTTTGCCAGCATGCTCTTGATGACCACCAGTTGTGTCTTCTTCTGCCAATGTGTTTTTCACGACATTCAGCTGCTTGTGTGTTTGCCCGCTAGGGTCTCAGGATTTTATAGGCACAGGATGGGAGTGTGGCAGGCCAGAGTGGTCTTGGGAAAGGCGACATTTGGGCATGAAGGCAGGAGTGACTGTACTTATCTTGGTCCGTGGGGGTGGAGCCCTAGCCAGGGACTACACCCTTCCTCTACCCAGCACTTCCCTTCCCCCTTTCTGTGTCATTTAAAGGGACCACAGTCTTCCATTCCCAGCACTCCTTTTATCAGTAGGTTGGATACAAACTGCTTGAAATGTAAAGGTGTTAGTTTAGAACATTTTTACCTTTCCCAAATGTCCTTTCTGCTGCTGTGGATTTTAACCCATTTTCTCTTGAAAGAAACTGACAGAATTATAAGTTTCTTAGAATATAAAATTGGGTGTAGGGTATTCTTTTCATGAATGTTTTTGGATAGGTAAATATTCCATTTTCCCCAATCCTACTGGGGGGGAATGCTTCCATGAATGCAATGGAAGCATTTGCAGTAACTATGCATATTAGAGGTCATTAGTTTATATAGTTTTTACTTTACTAGTTAATAGAAACCATTAAGAAGCGTTCTTTGCTGATTGATTTAGTAGGATTAATAATTCATCTAAGTGAAAAAAAGTTTTAGAACTTTAAAAAGTCATCATTTGTTTTCCAGTTAGTATTGTTGCCTAACAAATTACTCTAAAATTTAGCCTCTTAAAACAACAACTTTATTTTGCTCACAGACTCAGTGGTCAGTAGTTCGAACAGAGTACAACAGGAAAGGCTTGACTTTGCCTTACTTTGTTGGGTCTGAGTAGACTCAAAGTCTAAGAATGAATGTATGAGCACAAGTGGAATCATCTAAAGACTTGCTCATTTTCTTATCTGGCACCTGGCCTGGGATGACTGGAAGTCTAGTACTACTGTGCAGAGCACATGGATATATTCTTTTTTCATAGCTTGTTTTTCTCACAGCTGGGTGGTGTTGTAAATGCAAAAACTGGTATGAGCCAGCCTTGGGAAGGAACACAGTATCACTTCTACCCAATTCTATTTGTCAAAGCATCACAAATCTTTCCAGATTGTTATTAGTCATTGTCATTATAAGAGAAAAGAGAGAGGAAATAGATTATAGAGACATCTCATTATGCTGTGTGTCTCAGCCTTGTTCTTCTAAAACAGCTTCTCAAAGAGTAACCCACAGACTGTTAGCTGATTGATAAACAGTTTTTTATCAGTCCACAATGGGATAAGGAACTTATACAAGAATATAAGTCAACTATGACACTGAGCACCCTGTTTATTTCAGTAGATTTTTTCAAGGTAAGAATTTCTCAATGAAAGAAGCAGTGTATTGATTTCCATTGTGAAATTGATTGTGAAGCAACACTTGGAATAGCAGAAAAAGAAACCAGAATTTGAAGCAAGGATAAAATTTTTATTCTTTATTTGGGAAGAGCACCCCCGCTGCAGTAAGGATAAGGATAAAAGGAAAGTGAGGCAAAGAAAGTATTAAAAAGCAATGTAATGTGATGCATTACCACATTTGGCATGGTTTCACAAGGATCCCCAGAGAGACCCAGCAAGTGACTCAGCAGGCATGCTTACTTGGCCCACAGTACTTTCCTGGGGGTACAAGGAAGTAATGTCCATTAATATGGCCCACTAAAATAAGACTGAAAAGATTTATGTTCCTAGGCTGTTCCCATCTTACATTGAACAAAGGTTAGCCCACAGAGCCCAAACTTTGATCAATGCAAGATGGGAAGAGCCTCGGAACATAAATTCTGCCTGGCCCTTCCATCTTGCTTTACTGACTCTCTTGATGGCCATGCAGGAAACCCCAAAATGTTTGTGTCCAAACCAGCTTGTGTGTACATGTGCTTGTTTGGACATCTGTATATGCATGCATCTGGTCTGCATTTGAGTGCATTAAATAATGGTTACCTGCTAAAAATCAGAATTCAGAGAGTAAATTATTCTATCACATCTAAAATATCATTAAAATTATTTATGGTTGTAGATGATAATTGTATACATATTATAACAGTGAAATAGATTTTATAAATATTTATTGAAATGTAATTTGTGAATATACTAGGAAGAATATTTGGAGAAATGGCCTTTAACATCATTACTAATCCTCTCAGAATTTCTCCAATATCAGTAAAGGGCAAAGTTTTGAGTAAAATATATGATAGTATAACCAAAATTTGACTTGAGTACACTGTTGGTGCTCCTTCGAGATCCACCTTAGAGGACTGGAATACTCATCCTCCAGCTCCTGTGAGTGTTGGCACAAAAGACTCATAGCTGCTGCCTTTTATAGATGATTGCTCTTGAAAAAATGGGAGCTTCTTTGCCCAGGAGGTTACATGCCTTTCCACAGAACCAATGACTGATGTGGAAATACAGAAGGCAGGCCCCTTGCCTCAGGATGGGGCCAACTCTGCCACAATTTATGCTCCACAGGCCCCCATGGGATCTTCCCCTGCTGTATCTGCTTCCTTCACTCCCTATCTCATGACAACACTGCCACCATGAATTACATGTGCCCAAATTGTTGCCTCATATTCCATTTCTAGGAAAATCAACCTAAGACAGGTACTTGGAAGAAGTGATTGATAGACCTTTTGAAAGAGGATTCACCAGAAATCGTTTATTGACTAGATACTGAGAAGTGGATTGATATCTGGATAACGCTGAAGTTTAAAGTTTTGGCATCAAGAGACTGTTTATGAGACTTCTATGGATAGAGACATTAGGAGAGGAAGTAGATGACAATTTTAGGCATGTTTCATTGGAGGTAATAATGAGGCACCAAATGAAGAAGATTGAACAAAATAATTAGCATTTAAATTTCTAGAACCACAGTTTAAATAGGCCTGGGAGTCACAAGTAAGGAAATAACAGTTATAGAGATAATAATGCACAATTGCTAAGAAGAAAAATCTTAAAGAAAGAATAAAAGACAAATGAATGTTTTTATTGGAGGAATTCTTGTGACATCCATTCTGTCCTCCTTGAGTATTATTTGAACTATTGAATTGAAAATCAGTGTACTTATATAAACTTCTCTTTCTATTGTAAAATACATTTGAGTTTAAGTTTGAGTCTGCTTTCTCTTTGTAAACTAAACTTGAATTTAGCTTTTAAATCTATGTGACACCATGGGTCTGGGCCCGCTATTGTTCATTGAGCCTTAAAATATCTAAAACATAAGATTTAAAATATTTATGATAAGTTGTTTAATTTCAGCTTACCACTTAATATGGTATTCCAATGGTGAGTACAACTGTTGGTAAGAAAACACTATTGTATTTATATGAAATTCTTATTTGATTTTATAATAAATTCATGAAAGCCAATGAGTAATTAGATACTCATTGAAAATTACTGTTAGATAACTAAGAGGAAGAGAAATCTGAAATCTGAAAAATTCAAATCTAAAACCTTCATATTTTCCTTATATTTTGTTGACTCTTACTGTTTGTTAGTGAGCCAAGAAAAGCTTCCCAGTAGAATAAAAAGTGTTTAAGTAAATAATTTACATAAAATTCCTCTCTCTCTCTAGTATTAAAAGAAAATCAGGCACAAGTTGTTATAGTTGTTTTTTCTGAGGACTAAGAGGGCAGAGCAGCAGTTAGACGAGAGGATATATAATGATCTCTTGGACCAGAAAAAATTCTGAAAAGGAAATGTGATATAGTGAAGGTATACAGGTTCTATTTTTCCAGAATCATCATGTCTGATTACATAACACAAAAAATAACAAGCAAAAATTTTAACTTAAGAATAAAATATATTCTGGAATCATAATATATATGCCATCAAAAATCTCATCTTCTCTCAGAGAAATAGACCTGGAAGGAGAAAAATGTTCAATATAAGTCCTGCAAACTAACCTGAGCATTGGCTTCTTTACCTTAGCTTACTGGGAAAAAGATATCAACAAGTTGGCACCACTGCATCTTTTCCTTTGAGAGGCATTTTGCCTTTTATTATGCTTCCCTACTTTCCTCAACCAAAAAGAACTTTCAGATTACATCTACATGAAAGAAGACTTTTGACAAAGAAGAATTCACATGCCCAAAGAAACTAATATCTCATTATCAGTAAATATTAACAAATAGATTGTCAATTTATTATAGTCCAAATCATGAGTAAACATTCGCTTGGGTTATGAATATATCTTTTGTTATGCATTGTTTCTCTATATATTAAAAAATTTACTTGTTCATTTTTAAAATGAACAGAAGAAATCTAGTAAATAGTTTGAATAGTTAAAAGAAGAAATCTAGTAAATAGTTTGAATAGCAACTTTTAAATACTCTTTTAGACTAAATGTAATTGTGTGCTTAGCACATTTTGAACTTAATTAAATATTGTGTATATGAATCCATATATACATTTCATTTTTCTTTTCTTTTTGAGACAAGGTCTCACTCTGTTGCCCGGGCTGGAGTGCAGTGGCATAATGTTGACTCACTGCAGCCTCTACTCCCCAGGCTCAGGTTATTCTCCCACCTCAGCCTCCCCAAAAACTGGGACTACAAGCACGTGCTGCCATGCCTGGCTAATTTTTGTATTTTTAGAAGAGACAGGTTTTCATCACATTGCCCAGGCTGGTCTCGAACTCCTGACGTCAAGTGATCTGCTCACTTCGGCCTCTCAAAGTGCTGGGATTACAGGCATGAGACACTGCCCTGACCCCATTTCAGTTTTGTTTTTTTTTTAATACACATGAATTACTGTATTTTATTTAAAATGACATTCAGCATTGACTTTCAAATGCGCTCTCTGAAGAACCAATTATTCTTATTTATTGCTTTCCCTAATTTGATTGCTATCCCTATATTGCTATCCCTAATTTGATTGATAAATACGAAAAATATTTCACATATGACATAAAAATCAAATTATTCTATATCAAGATTCATGTTAATTCTACTTTTATAGAGTGTTTTAAAAACCTAATTTTTGAGGCATGTGTAATATAGCCATGATTAGGCAAAAATAAATACTGAAACAGACTTTTTATTGCTAAATATAGTAAAGTAAATAGAATGGAAATCAAAGGCTTTCTACATATTAGAAACTGCTTTACAGTGTTCAAACTGGTGTTTATTAGGTTTACTAAAATACAAAACAAAAAAGCAAAACTGTCATCTGAGAAATGGCGTAGGAATAATAGGAAGTTTTCTGAACTACATGCTAGGAATCACTTTTCTATTTGCAATCTGTTTGTTTGTTTGTTTTTGAGACAGATTCTCACTCTGTCACCCAGGCTAGAGTGCAGTGGCTCAATCTTGGCTCACTGCAACCTCCACATCCCGGGTTCAAGCGATTCTCGTGTGTCAGCCTCCTGAGTAGCTGACATTAAAGGCACGCACCACCTCACCTGCTAATTTTTGTATTTTTAGTAGAGACAGGGTTTCACCATGTTGGCCAGGCCGGTCTCAAACTCCTGACTTCAAGTGATCTGCCCAACTCAGTCTTCCAAAGTGCTGGGATTACAGGTGCGAGCCACCGAACCTGGCCTCTATTTGCAATTTTAACTAGCCATGTATCCCGAGGTAAGTCACAGTGCCTCTGAATTTAATTATTTATAAAAATCAAGGGGTTGGACAAGATAAGATCCCACAGACACTTCCAGCTCTTAAACGTAATGAATTTACCATGTGGGCAAGTAGTTTTTAAGAAGTTCTTTCTAAATTCTCTCTGGTTTTCTTTCTTTATGACTTGATAAAGCCAAATCAAAAGTACTCCATAAACTAACCTACAGCAACCACAGCAAAGAAAACCAAAACAAGAACTGAGACTGACCCTTGACAACCACAATGGGGCATTTCAGAGATACAGGAAGGTCTTCTGCACATAATTAGCCATTCACAAATGAAAAGTCAGTTCAAGTCAATACAAGTATTTGAAGAAGTTTTAGATATTTTAAAGGTGAGAGAAGTAGAAACATATATAGTCTTTCCCCTAAGAAGATAATAGAATCAGGTTTTAACTCTTTTTTTTTTTTTTTTTTTGGAGACTGAATCTTGCTGTATAGTCCAGGCTGGAGTGCAGTGGAGCAATCTTGGCTCACTGCAACCACTGCCTTCTGGGTTCAAGCGATTCTTGTGCCTCAGCCTCCTGAGTAGCTGGGATTACAGGTGCCCACCACGACGCCTGGCTAATTTTTGTATTTTTAGTAGAGATGGGGTTTCACCATGTTGGCCAGGCTGGTCTCAGACTCCTGACCTTAAATGATCTGCCCGCCTCGGCTTCCCAAAGTGCTGGGATTACAGGCATGAGCCACTGCACCCAACTATTTCTAGAGAAAGACATACACATTAGGTGATTTCAGTATACTTCTTTCTTACAAGTTAAATTTTGTTTATCAGTATTGCTGGAGATTAAGGTGCTGTGTCTCCCAGTGTTAAATATCTAAACATATTGAAGCATGCAGCTTTCAACATATATCTTTGGGGTAGGATGTTTTTACTCAAAATTTCGTTGTCCTTGAATAAGAAATGGTGCTCCAATAAAATATTCTGTGTATTTCAGAAATAAATCTTTTTGACCTCCATTAGTAAATGTAATGAATGTAATCAATGGTTTCAATATCTGATTTTGCCTTAATGTTAAAAGTTTGTTAGTTTTTACTTAGAAGAAAAGAAATGAGGAATGAAAAATTTGTTAGCAAAATTAGTAATTTTATTAACTTTTGCTTTTGATATATTAAAATTCTGACGAATGAAATCAAACTACTGAATTATCAAGTCATACAAGAAAACAATAATCATAGGATAAAGACTAAGTTTTAATCAAAGTTGAAGTCAGGAATGACAAACATTTTAGAAAGGAAAACCCTGGGACTGAGTCAGAGAAATAGGAAGAATGGGAGCTTGAAGGCTGATGAAAATGAAGTTTCTCCATTTGATTCTAATTCCCAGCTCACTTGGTTGTTCAGTTTGCCTTCCTTGGCCATTGGCAAGAAAAGCAAATATTACAAAAAGGAAAGACCAGGAGCTAGTCCCAAGATGCATCTTTTGACCGAACCTCCTTATTGCTTTCAAGTCTACTCTGGTCCAACCAGAAACTGCACCTGAGAGGTTTTTCTAAGTGTTTTTTTTTTTTTTTTTTTTTTTTTTTTGAGATGGATTCTCGCTCTGTCACCCAGGCTGGAGTGCAGTGGCTCAATCTCGGCTCACAGCAACCTCCGCCTTCCAGGTTCAAGCGATTCTCTTGCCTCAGCCTCCCTAGTAGCTGGGATCACAGGCATGTGCCACCACACCAGGCTAATTTTTGTATTTTTAGTAGAGACGAGGTTTTGCCATGTTGGCCAGGGTGGTCTTGAACTCCTGACCTCAGGTGATACTCCCCCTTTGGCTTCCCAAAGTGCTGGGATTACAGGCTGGGCCACTGTGCCCAGCCTTTTCCTATGTGCTTTCGATGAGGTCAAGATCAGCTAGCTATCATCTTGTCTGACAGAATTGCACACTTCAGGAGAAATTTTTCATCATGTACATTTTTGGCTTTTGACACAGACAGAAACTCATCACGGACCATAGAATCAACATAAATTATTTGCTTGCCTAAAAAAATGTGGTTTACTAAAGCATTGAAAAAAAAAGGGTTAAAAGCTGTTTTTATTGTCTTGGGTGAGATAACCTATAGTTAGGAGTTCCCTAATTAGACAGTGAAGTAGAATCTGAGCAGAAAGGATTTATATGAGTCATTGAATAATTTTTAGGATGGAATTACAAGTTAACTAAGGTCATAGCATGTGTGGTATAATTTTTTGTTGTTGTTTAAATGAAATACCTAAAATTCTTTAACTCAAGAATTTTGTAAAACTTAGAAATTAACATCTTGCAATCAGGAAAGCTGAATTTTAATATCATAAAATATGAATCCAAATTTCACTCAGTATGCATTTTACATGCCCCTACAATGTCATGTAATGAATCAGTGGCACGGTATAACATATGAGATTATAAAAGTTTTTTTCTCTAAATGAAGAGCACTATATGCACCAGTAAAATGATTTATTATGCTCATTTTATAGACAGTGTTACTAAGCATATGACTGGTAAGATTGCAGTTATTCTAGCTTCAGATTCAAAAGCGCCAAGAGCATGTTGGATGAATGTCTTTCACCTTAAATTCTATTTCCACATTTAATTAGAAAATGTTATCTAGAAGGCCACTCTCCAAGTTTTCTCTGATACTTTTTAAAGTGAATATATGTCATGTATAAATAAAGGTATAATGAGGAGAAAAGAGAGGTGAGCTCATTGGTAAGCAGGAAGAAATCTTGAAATGTCTAAACTCAAAAAGAAAAAAAAAAAAATACCCACAGTTTTACAAGACCGTGACAGCCTATCTCAGGCAGAAACGGAGTCTCAAAATTCAGATATATAGTTCCCCCAAAAAACTAAATATAAGGAAGTTATCAAAGGAAAGGCTATTTGACCATCTTGCCTTTTCCTGCTTCCCAGTGATGATTTTGTGTTTTCTTTAAATTTCTTCAAGGCCGTCTTGAATGAGGCTCCAATATTTCTGTTAGGAATCTCTTAGTTTTAGTAGAGATCATGAGAGTGTCCACCAATTATTTATTCTCGTGGCATTTAGGGGGAAAGCTTTTGTACATTTTCAAATTCCTCTCTTTTATTCTTTATATTAACACTAAACAGAGAAAACAACCAATTAAATGTAAAAAATAGTAGCAAATTGAGTGGCTAATGCCTTTTGGTTTTTCTTTTGCTTTTGTGAACTCTCTGATCTGAGTCCAGCAATTATAATTGCAAGAGGAGCTCATAGCTGTGTTTACAACTGAGTCTAGTTAATCTCTTATCTGTAGACCCCAAGAAACCTGTGCAGTTCTGGTTTTGTATTTATAATTTATTAGTGCATTCTCTTATGAGACTAAAGTAATAATAACTCAAGTATATTTTCTGCTTCATAAGGTGATGTTTCTAAAAGTTATTGGTTGCATAAGATAGTATAAATATTTATAATTTTCCCCGTTCCAATGAACAACTCTATAGATCCCAAAGTATGTAATATGAATATGTAAATTAAGTTATATAAATTAATAGTGTAGCATCAAAAGGAAAAGTAATTAATTTTTTTTCATCAGCATTTTTTTGAGCAACTGATATATGCCAGGCACTCACTGTTATAGGCACTGGAGATAAAGTAGCAAACAAAATAGATAAAAAAATCATGTACTCATGAAGCTTGCAATCATTGTTACATGTAGTTTGGGGTGCGTACACTCACAGTGGGCCTTGTTCAACCTTACCTGCCCCAATATACATACACTGGAGTGCAGACACTTTTCCTTGCTTTCAAGACATCTTGAATTCTCCTATTCATTGCACTTATCAAATTGGACTGAAATTGTTGTACTCCACAGTAGACTATTATATTTATGGGTTAAAAATCATTTGTATTCATCTCTATGTTCCCAATGCTTAGGGTAGCACCTGGAAGAGAGTAGAGAGTTCCTGGAACAGAGAAGAGGGTTCCATAATTTTTTAATTGAAGACACAATTCCACTTGTTTCAACTGCTCATGATTATTGTTCAATTATGTAACCTTCTGAAAGAACTAAAATTCCAATTCCTCCTTGAGAAACTTTATCATCTTCAATCATTGCTGCCAGCCTAGCTTAATATTCCTTCTTTCAACTTAGGGAAAATTCTTGTTGTGAAATTAATATGAGATTTCATCTCTGTGATTTTCCAGAGAATCATATTGATACATACTGAGACAGCCAGGTGGGAGGGACTCCTGGAGAAAATCCAGACAGCCTGCCCGCTAAAGTAGAGACTTGGGAAGTTCATGCGGTTAGCAGTAGGGCGGAGCCTGGCCCCTCCTCTTCCTGTGTGGAAGCTGGGATTCAAGCTGCAAGCGAAAAGTGATGTAGCAGGGTCTCTTGCCTAGTGAGAGTCCTTGTTTCCCCCTTTTTTTCCTTTTCATCCAATAAAACCCTGCTTTACACACCCTTCGCGGTTGTCTGCAAGCCTAAATTTTCGTGGTGTGGGAGGGACAAGGACCCCATCTTCAGCTGAACTAAGAAAAAGTTCTGCAACAATACCATTACCCACAAACACATACTTATGGGCTATTAGGGGCAGCTAATCTTTATGTAAACTAGATTTGAATACCAAAATAGTTCAAATCTACCTTATTATATGTTTGATGTTGAAAATATAAAAAATTAAGTATGCTAAATAAAACTTAGGTAACAAACTTGAAATGGCTTTTGTAGTATTTACCTGTTATTTTCAAGTAGGAAAATCACTAAGTGATAGTATTTTTTTGCTATGGTTCACATTTTCATGTAACAAGAGCCTCCGATTCTCTTATAATTTTACACTAACCAGAAAAGATAAAAAACAAATTAGTAAAATACCTTCAGACATTAAGGTAAAGAACATAAAACTGAACAAACAGGACAATCTTTCAGACATTAAGACTAAGAAGAACAAAGCTCATTTGAACTTCCTTTTCAAGAGCCTTTGCTAACTTCAGATCAAACCAGATAAAGAATTATATTCTGATCATGACTCAGGGATCAACAAATGGAAACATAAAACTAATTTTAGGTATCATTGGCTGGACTAGCACTAAGCCAAAATTCGAAGGGTATTTTTTGTTAGTAATCTCCTTTCTTCTTCTATTAAGCCCTTATTTTTTTTCTTTTTTATTGATATCCACCTCATCCCAAGGTCTTGTGTTCTTTAACTGATCTTTATGCCTTTAATGTTTCCTACCTTTAACTCTCTTATTGCCTCATTTTAAAGACATTAGCAAACAAACGCACTTGAGAAGCAGACTTCCTAAAGAGTGAAAGAGTGAGAAACCACGTTCTATGAAAATAATGGGGATGACTAGTCCCAACAAGAGGGAGGACTTAAAAACTGCCTACAAATAAACAAGTTTTCACGTAGAAGGAAAGTCAGTGTGTTCAAGATGTCCCTATAAGACTGAACTAGAACCACAGTCAACAGTGGAGGAGAAAAACCTACAGGTGATTATATCATATGTTCACACCAGGTGTGACTTTAGACTAAATATCTGATTATTTCTTGGGATTTTATTTTTGAACATTTGAATCAAAAGTACTATGCTGAAGATACTACTATAACCTTACCTTTGACTCTTAGAGTTATTGTCTGGGTCTCTGCAAAGGGACTTTTAATAACTTTAAATTAAAATCTCATTTTCCCTATTTGTAAAATGATGCAATAATAGTGGCTATATTATAAGATCATTCTGAGGAGTAAATGAGATATATGTACACTTCATTGCACAGAGCCGGTTATAGAGTGCTTACTCTATTAAGTATTTTATTTGTGATGAAGGAGTTCAGGAAATGCCACCTCAAGCTATGACACTTTGGTGTGCTGATTACTTTAAACTGAGGATGACACTTGGGGAGCAGTAGATGCAGGCAGAGGCTTTCTCTCAGTCCCCACATGTGCCTAAGGAGGTGTCAGATACAGTAAGTACCTCTTCAAAGGTGTAATTTCTGACTTCCTTGTTCTTTGTTCTCAAGATCAACTTTCTGTCCCTTCTCCTAAGCTACCTGTTCTGTAAACAACTTATCCCACAGGTCCCAATCTGTAACTCACACCTCTTCCTTATTTGGAAAGAGTCCTCTTTACTCCTGGCTACCCACTCGGTAAACTGACCCTCCCTCTGAAAGAGGTATTCCTGCTGAAACTACCCTTCCCAGCTTTGCCACGCCCTGACATGCCCAAACATAAGCCTTGTACCATAACAGACAGGCTCTCCCTTCCTGCCTAATTAACTATATTCAATTTTAAACAGTAGCCAATTGGGTCAGTTTAGATTGTGCAGTCTGATTCCAGCCAATGGGGACAGGTCACAGAAGCAGGGATTAACCATGTTAGGGATAAAAACTCGTTCAATCCTTTATTTGGTGTGCTCTCACAGTGGCCAGAAGTGCAAAGAGCACCCTTCTGCAGAAGTAAATTTGCCTTGCTGAGAAATCATTCATCTGAGTGCTCGTTTTCCTTGCAACTCCGAGCTCTTGTTTCTAACAACTTTGGGGCTTGTCTGGGATTGCCTTTCTGCTCTGGGGAGAGGTTCCCACCCATCTCTCATGAGGAGATGTGTCCCATTGCCTCGCTGTGGTAGTCTCAGGGATGAGGGATTGAGACCTCCCCAGCATGGCGAATAAACCTGGACTCTCTGCAACGGGGGTGAAAAGGATCCTCACGTACTGCAGCAACCAGGTAACTCTGTGCACAGACCAAGGTAAGAAAAGTTGCGGGGGTGACAAAGTATTTCCTCAGTGGTTGGGACATCTTGAAGGTTGAATGTGTGTGGTGTGTGAATGAGATGCACAATTAAACACAAAGTGAGTGCAGAGTCTGGGTCTGTGGTTCCGTAGTCACCTCATACGGCTTATGGTGGATTCCTGCTGTGGGGCTTATACTGACATGCCAATGCTAAGAGAGACCTGAATTCCTGTGAGGGAAGAGGCCAGAGAAGGATGAAGCGAAAGGAAAGGAGTGCAAGAGAACTCCAGCAGGGGGGGCTTAAATCTCTAGAGAAGGGAAGGCAAGAAATCTCTAATATGAGGGATTAAGCCTCAGCAAGCCTCTAGAGAAGGGAAGGCATGAAATCTCTAACATGAGGGATTGAGCCTCACACCAAACCTCCAGGATGGGAAACATCCCAACTAAGACAGGAAATAAAAGGGATAAAGCTAGTGATAATAATAACATTCCCTCTGATATTCCCTTAGGTCTCATGTTAAAATATTGGAGGGATAATGAAAGGACTAAACATAAGAAAAAACAACAAATGATAAAATATTGTTGTTTCATTTGGACCACAGAGCCCCTCCTCAAATGCTCAGTTTTCTGGCCAACATTTGGGTCAAATGAGGATTGGATTTGTCAACTTCTAATAGAGTATGTCAATGACAAGAGTCCCATCTCCCAGGAGGAAACAGATTATGCCCTGTGTTGGTGGCAGGGATGCGTCCTTCTTTACCCCCTAAAAGCTAGAGGAAGTAAGCCAGAAACCAGCTCCTCTGAGGAAAGTAAGACCTCTACCCCAAAACAACCCACCAATGTATGGGACCCACTAGACCACCCACCTCCACCAAATTCCACACCCCAAGCAGACACACAAGACCCTCCTCACTCAATTCCTCCTCCATATAACTCCAAGTCAATGCCTGCCCCTATGCCCCCTGCCTTCCCTAACCACACGCCTGTGTCTATATCTTCTCCAGGAAGGCTCCAGCGTGAGATAGAACAGTGTAAAAAGGATATTCAGAACTTCTCTTTCCCCTCCACCTCTAAGAAATCAGCCCCAACTCTCTTCCCCTTAAGGGAAGTTCCCCTTGGAGGAGGAGGCATCGGCTTCGGAAATGCTCCCTTAACTATCTCAGAAGTTCAAAATTTAAAAAAGGAGCTCAAGTCATTGTTAGATGACACTTGTGGGGTAGCAGATAAAATTGATCAATTCTTAGGGTCACAGCTGTATACTTGGGCCAAGTTAATGTCCATCCTGGGCATCCTCTTTTCAAGGGAAGAAGGAAGCATGATCCATAGGGTGACTATGGTAGTCTGAGAAAGTGAACATCCTCCTGGCCAAAATGTTCCTGTGGCAGACCACAAATTTCCAGCCCAAGATCCTCAATGGGACAATAACAATGCAAATCACTGAGAGAATATGAGAGATCTCAGGGAAATGGTAATAAAAGGAATTTGGGAATCAGTACCCCAAATCTAAAATATTTCCTAAGTGTTCGATATACAACAAAGAAAGGATGAAGGACTGATGGAATTCCTAGATAGGCTGAAAGAGCAAATGAGAAAATATGCAGGCCTAGATTTAGAAGACCCTCTTGGGCAGGGAAAGTTAAGTTACATTTTGTTACAAACAGTTGGCCAGATATTGCTAAGAAATTACAAACGATAAAGAATTGGAAATACTGGACTATTGAAGAGCTTTTAAGAGAAGCTCAAAAAGTATATATGAGAAGAGATGAAGAATAGCAGAAACAAAAAGCAAAAATTATGTTATCCACCTTCTAACAGGGGTTCCAAAAGACGAGGTCCACTGATACTACTCTCTGTTACCAAGGGACCCACACCCCCTAAACAAGGCCTATGGGGGGCTAAAACTTACAAAGGGTTTAAGTCCTCACATGCTAGACAATATAAAGGACATAGAGAGTTGAGACCAGGGAACCTCAGAACTGGAAGGGAGGGAGGAAAAAATAAATGCTTCAAATATGAAGTAGTAGGTCATTTTAAGAGAGAATATCCCAAATGGGAGAAGAATAAAGAAGTCATT
The DNA here is from genome assembly GCF_000001405.40 of Homo sapiens. Taxonomy (NCBI): domain Eukaryota; kingdom Metazoa; phylum Chordata; class Mammalia; order Primates; family Hominidae; genus Homo; species Homo sapiens. The sequence goes on along the minus strand of NC_000003.12, from coordinate 87,613,347 downwards.
CCACTTGGGGCTTCTGAAGGAGAATAGGGAGGTCAGGAGCTCTGCTCTTTTTATCTTGAATCCCACCAAGAGCCCTTGATAAATTCAGAGATGGGACCCAAACATGAAGTTATAATCTTTTTAATAGATTTAGGAGCATCTCGCTCCTCTATTTGTTTCTCTTTACCTAATGCCCCTTGCTCCTCAGAAGAACTTTTTGTCTCGGGGGTGAAGGGAGAAGGGTTTAAAGGAAGATTCTTAGAAGACACAGAGGTCAAATATAAAAATCGATCAACCCACGTTCAATATCTGTTAACCCCTGAGGCAGGAACTAACCTGTTAGGAAGAGATTTAATGCTAAAACTAGATACAGGCCTACATGTCTGTCCAAATGGATTTCTTACCTCATTAAATCTAGTCACCACTGGAGATGAAAAATACATTCATCCTGATGTATGGGCGAGAGAAGGAAATTGAGGAAGACTTCAAGTAGCCCCAGTACTTATAAAGTTAAAAAACCCCAAGGGAAATAGAAGAAAGCAATATCCCATTCCTCTAGAGGGCAGAATAGGCCTAAAACCTGTAGTAGAAGGTCTCATTCAAGATAAGCTTCTTGAACCCTGTATGTCACCTTATAACACTCCAATATTGCCTGTAAAGGAATCAGATGGGTCATAGCAACTAGTGCAAGACCTCAGAGCTATTAGCCAAATAGTCCAGATTACCCACCCTCTTGTTCCCAACACTTACACTATCCTTAGCAAAATACCATATGACCATCAATGGTTTATAGTGATAGACTTAAAAGATGCCTTCTGGGCATGCCCCTTGGCTGAGGACAGCAGGGACATATTTGCTTTTGAATGGGAAGATCCTCATTCTGGACGAAAGCAACAATACTGATGGGCAGTCTTGACCCAAGTGTTCACAGATTCACCTAACCTCTTTGGTCAAATCCTAGAACAGGTTCTAGAAAAAATTTGTATCCTGAAACACATATGCTTGCTCCAATATGTGGAAGACCTGCTTTTATCTGGTGAGGCTATAGAGCAGCTGGCTGCTTTCTCCACACACCTTCTTAACTATTTACAAGAGAAGGGAATATGAGCTTTCAAAAGGAAAGCTCCAATTCGTGGAACCTGAGGTTAAATATTTAGGACACTTAATAAGCAAAGACGAGCGAAGGATAGGGCTCAAACGAGTCCAAGGAATCATGTCTTTACCTTTGCCTAAAACCAAGCAAGAGCTCAGAAAATTTTGGGGATTAGTTGGGTATTGCCAACTATGGATTGATTCTTATGCCCTAAAGACAAAACCCTTATACCTGAAGGTCACCCAGGAAAAGCCTCACCCTCTCCTTCCTCACTCCTGATGAAACCCACCAGGGTGAGGAGTTAAAACACCTACTCATCACTGCTCCCATCTTAGCCCTGCCTTCCTAGAAAAACCACTTCACCTTTTCATTAATGCAAACAAGGGGGTAGCTTTAGGGCTGCTTCTCAAGAGCATGGGGGCCACAGACAACCACAGTTTTAGACCCAGTAACCTGTGGGCGGCTTGAATACATTCAATCTATCATGGCTACCACCTGTTAACTGAAGAAAGCAGGAAGCTAATCTTTGGGGGAAATTGGTGGTGAGCACACCCCATCAAGTTAGGACAATCTTAAATCAAAAGGCAGGAAGATGGCTCACCGAATCAAGGATTTTAAAGTATGAAGCTATCTTATTAGAAAGAGATGGCTTAACATTAACCACTGATAATTCACTTAGCCCAGCAGGTTTCCTGACAGGGAACCCAAATCCAAAAGGACCTGAGCATAAATGTTTAGATTTAATTGATTATCACACAAAGATCAGGCCCAATTTAAGAGAGAGCCCTTTCAAAACAGGACAACATCTATTAATAGATGGCTCCTCCTGGGTAACTGGGGGAAAAAGGCATAATGGGTATTCAGTGGTCTATGGGGAAGCTCTTGAAGAAGTAGAGTCAGGAAGATAGCCCAATAATTGGTCAGCCCAAACATGTGAATTGTTTGCATTAAATCAAGCTTTAAAACATTTACAAAACCAAGAAGAGACTATTTATACTGATTATAGGTATGCCTTCAGGGTAGCCCATACCTTCGGGAAAATTTGGACTGAACGAGGTCTCATTAATAGCAAAAACCAAGACTTCATCCACAAAGAATTAATCACCCAGGTATTACATAACCTTCAGTTGCCAGAAGAAATAGCTATTGTCCATGTTTCAGGACACCAGACAAATCTTTCTTTTGAAAGCTGAGGGAATAACCTCACAGACCAAATAGCCAAACAAGCCACTGTTTTCTCTGAAACGCCTGTTTTTCACCTCACCCTTGCCTTTCTCCCCCAACTGCCATTCCCATCTTCCCCCCTCTTGAAAAGAAGAAATTAATAATAGGAGCCAAGGAAAACTCAAAAGGAAAATGGATGTTACCAGATCAAAGAGAAATGCTAGCCTAATCTCTCATGAGGGAGGTTTTATCTCAGCTGCATCAAGGAACCCACTGGGGACCTCAAGCTATGTGTGATGCAGTTCTTAGAGTCTATGGATCTATAGGAATTTATGCTGTAACAAAACAAGTTACAGATAGTTGTTTAATATGCATAAAAACTAGTAAGCAGGTTGGGCATGGTGGCTCATGCCTGTAATCCCAGCACTTTGGGAGGCCGAGGCGGGCGGATCACGAGGTCAGGAGATCGAGACCATCCTGGCTAACACGGCAAAAACCCGTCTCTACTAAAAATACAAAAAATTAGCCAGGCGTGGTGGTGGGCACCTGTAGTCCCAGCTACTCAGGAGGCTGCAGCAGGAGAATGGCATGAACCCAGGAGACAGAGCTTGCAGTGAGCCAAGATCGTGCCACTGCACTCCAGCCCGGGCGACACAGTGAGACTCCGTCTCAAAAAAAAAAAAAAAAAAAAAAACAAACAAAAAAAACCAGTAAGCAAACCCTAAGAAAACCACCCCTTGGAGGAGGAAACCCAGGATTAAGTCCATTCCAAAGCATCCAAATAGATTACACTGAAATGCTCCCAATAGATCGCCTAAAGTATCTACTAGTAATAGTGGATCACCTTACTCACTGGGTAAAAGCTTCTCTTTTCAAGTGCAGCTGCCAGTAATGTAGTTAAGGCATTCATCAAAAATATTTTACCTGGTTTGGATTAATAGAAAATATTGATTCAGATAATGGAACCCATTTCACTGCACCTGTCATTAAAAAGCTAACCCAAGTATTAGAAGTAAGGTGGGAATAGCATACCCTCTGGCACCCACCTTCATCAGGAAGAGTAGAAAGAATGAACCAAGCCCTAAAATGCCACCTAACCACATGAGTTTTAGAGACTCGACTATCATGGACCTAATGCCTTATTGAGGGTCCGAACTGCCCCTTGGAATGATATTGGCTTATCTCCTTATGAAATGCTATATGGGTTGCCTTATTTACACTCCACTGCTGACATTCTTATGATTGAAACTAAAGACCAGTTTCTCAGGATCTATATACTTGGTCTGTCTTCCACTTTCTCTTCTCTCAGAACAAAAGGCCTTTTAGCACAGACGCCACCCTTGGAGTTTCCAGCACATCAGCGTCAGCCTGGGCATCACGTTCTCATCAAAAGCTGGAAAGAAGGAAAACTTGAACTGGCTTGGGGAGTACCCTATCTAGTGCTTCTAACTGCAGAAACCATGGTCTGCATGGCCAAAAGGGGATAGACACAACACACGTGGGTGAAAGGAGTGGCTTCTCCAGCCAGAGAAAAAATGGGTTGTCACCCCAGTGCCCACCCCACCAAATTAACTCTAAAAAGGGCTTAATAATCACTTGTTTATTTTCCCTTTCTTTCCAATAGAAAGTCACCTCGTCATCAGTGTGACTCAAACTAACCATCCCTTAACCCTTCAGTTCGATGCTTGTTCAGTCATCTAATGTGGAGACGGACGAGCTCAAAGGCAGCTATCAAATGTAGATCAGTATCTATGTCCATACCGTAGTGAGTTAACTAAGTATAAGTATGGAGCCTTACAAAGTCCCTGTGGTAACTGGACGGATGTTTGGCGGACCACCCAATATGGAGGGTGGACAGCCAGGCCCCCTTCTTCAAACAAGTTGTGAAGACTGAAACAGAAACTCCAACTTATTCATGGTCCCACCCCAACAAATTGTAAGTCATAGCAGTGTAACCCCTTCTTGCTAATTATAGATAATCCCCAAACAATGGCCAAAGAACCCTCCATATTCGAATGGTATGGGTTAGGAGCAGATGTTAGAGGACAGGACCCCATAGGAATCTTCTCTTTGAGGTTGGCTAGACCATCAGCTAAAAACAATAAAGAAATCCAGACCCAGAGTCTGGGGAAACATATGGGACCCAACGCTCTCCCCAAACAATGGGAGGCCCATTGTTCTCCCCCCATCTCCAGAAGACCCAACTCAGGGTGGAGGTAAAAGATTTAAGGCAGACTATAGCTTTAGAGACAGGGTACAAAGATGCAAATGCGTGCCTGGAATGGATTAAATATTCCATCTACACTCTAAGCAAAATTGAGTGTTACACTTGTTCGCACAGCAGGCCAGAGGCCCAGATTGTCCCCTTTCCACTCGGATGGTCCTCCAAACAATCAGGCATGAACTGTATGGTAGGTCTCATCTACAGCCTGGGGTAATGAATTATGCCGAGCTCTCTCTCTGCTATTCCTTCAAGTCCCGCACCCTGCTGGTCAGCCCCCGAAGGCCATCCAGCTTCTGTCTCCTGATGCCAATTTTACCTCGTGTCTTTCACAACAAGGGGAAAACTTAACATTTCTTGGAGATCTAAAGGGATGCAGTGAGCTTACGCCATTCCAAGAGCTGACAAATCAGTCTGCCCTGATCCATCCCTGAGCAGATGTATGGTGATATTGTGGAGGACCATTACTGGACACTCTGCCAAGTAACTGGAGTGGCACTTGTGCTCTCATCCAATTGGCCATTTCTTTCACCCTAGCATTTCATCAACCAAAAAGGATAAAGAGAAACCATTGTGAAACAACAGATGCCCCTCATGGGTCCTTTGTCTCTCATGTTTACATAGATGCCACTGGAGTCCCGAGAGGAGTGCCAGATGAATTTAAGGCCCAAAATCAGATAGTTACAGGGTTTGAGTTTGTACTATTCTGGTGGTTAACTGTAAATAAAAATGTAGATTGGATAAATTACATCTATTAAAATTAACAATGATTTGTTAACTATACTAGAGATGCTATTAAAGGGATAACTAAACAATTAGGACCCATCAGCCAAATGACTTGGGAAAATAGAATGGCATTAGACATGATACTAGCAGAGAAAGGTGGAGTTTGTGTCCTGATTGGAACTCAATGTTGTCCTTTTATACCTAATAATACTGCTTCTGAGGGAACCGTAGCAAAAGGATTACAAGGTCTTACTGCTTTATCCAATGAACTAGCTAAAAATTCAGGAATAAACAATCCCTTCACTAATTTAATGGAAAAATGGTTCGACAAATGCAAAGGACTTATGCCCTCAATCCTTACTTATCTTGCCATTGTAATAGGTGTGCTATGACACTTTGGTGTGCTGATTACTTTAAACTGAGGATGACACTTGGGGAGCAGTAGATGCAGGCAGAGGCTTTCTCTCAGTCCCCACATGTGCCTAAGGAGGTGTCAGATACAGTAAGTACCTCTTCAAAGGTGTAATTTCTGACTTCCTTGTTCTTTGTTCTCAAGATCAACTTTCTGTCCCTTCTCCTAAGCTACCTGCTCTGTAAACAACTTCTCCCACCAGTCCCAAACAAATGGGTTTTGTTCATTTTCAGTGTACAATGGGTACAATGGGTTTTGTTCCCCTCCCACTGAAACAGCTCTTCCCGCCAAAACTACCCTTCCCGCTTCGGCCATGCCCTGACATGCCCAAACACATTTGTACATAATGGACAGCCTTTCCCTTCCTGTCTAATTAGCCATATTCAATTTTAAACAGTAGCCAATTGGGTCAGTTTAGATTGTGTGGTCTGAGTCTAGCCAATGGGGACAGGACAAGAGGCAAGGATTAACCACGTTAGGGATAAAAACCCCTTCCCTCCTTTGTTCGGTGTGCTCTCACAGTGGGCAGAAGTGTGAACAGTACCACTTTGCAGAAGTAAATTTGCCTTGCTGAGAAATCCTTCATCTGAGTGCTCATTTTCCTTGCGACTCCGAGCTCTTGTTTCTAACAGAGGGATCCTAAAAAAGGAAGTCAAATGTCCTGAATCTTCTCCCCAGGAACCTTATCAACCAGGGAAGATTAACTCAGATCATAGGAGAGGAGACTGAAGGTGGACAGCACCTCCAGACAGACCTATTTTTTGAGAGCTGCTCAGAGACAACTTTTCTTATATGAGACTTCTTATCTGCATAACAAGACAACCTTTATTCACCATGCATGTTCTCCCCTCACCTTCCCATAACTTGTGTCACCATCACCCTCCAGAAGTCCCAATCCTGTCTTTGGTTCTGCAGCCCAGGATGCTATATAAGCTTCCTTCATCTGGCCATCCTGTGGGTCTCATATTTTGTGAGACTCTCCTGCATATATATGGAGTAAATATGGTTTTTCTTCTTTTAATCTATACCAATTTAATACATAGTTCGTCCAAAGAACCTAGAAGGGTGAAAGAAAGACATTTTTGCTCCCCTACAATGATTATTATTATATAGTGTCTAAGGAAAAATGCTTTTATACACTTCTAACAGCTACATATGATGACTAAGTTTCCTTAAGGCACCACATTACACAATGCCTATTAGGCTAAGCCTTCAAATGTGCTGATCCAGGAGACCAGAGCTTACAAAGATTTCAGTTAAAATCTTTGTTTTCTGGATCTTAGTCTGGAAGTTTCAAGACATCTTTCCACATGTTATAAATTGTTTAACATCAGATCCTGCCTAAACCCAGAAACATATATGCATACAATTTACTATTTTTTAGGTCTTTTATTAAAATCAAATGTTAATTTTAATATTCCAACTATTACACATATGGAATTTAAAAGACTAACATGTTATTTTTTCATTATTATGTGTGTATCAACAACAGAAATTAGAAAATTGAAAATTACAATTAATTAAATATATGTGGGTATGCAAAAGTTTATACATAAGAGTGGTGAAAATACAGGAAAGATTTATAAAGTAGTATGTATACAAGAAAACCAAAATCAAAGTAGTAAGTTGTCCCAGTAGGTACTAGTTCCTTTAAATAAGGTCATATTATTGAAGAAAGACTTTCACTGAAACTTGTGCTACTGGGCACATACTCTCAGGTGGGTTTTTGCCTTATCTTGGATGGGTCACCATTGACAGCAGGCAACTAAGTTAAAGGAAGAAATACAATATTCTGAAAAAGTTGTATGTTTGGAAAGGGCTCTTTCACATGAACACAGAATTTGTTCTATAATTTCTCTAAAACTGATTTAGGTTTTAATAACATATGGGAAACTAAAAATATTGAGGACAACAAAAAATATTGAGAACATGTAATGTGAACCATTTCTCTTAAATGTGGTATCCATCTTTCAAATAGACCTAATTTAGAATTATAATTTTATAACTGAATATAACATAATAAACAAAATTGAGTTTGTATTTAGCCAAAATCTTCATGGCACAGATGGAACTTGGACAACTCTTTGATAGAATGTTTATAATTAGTATCCCTGATTCTGTGTAGAAATTGTTAATTTTTCTGAATGTTTTAGATATTTCATTTTAAATTATCTGATAGGCCTATGGCATTATTTTTTAAAAATATATAGTTTCAAATAGCTAGAAAGGAATATTGAATGTTCCCAAGACAAATAAATAACTGTCTGAGATAATGGATATACTAATTACCCTGATCTGATCACTACACATTATATGTATCAAAACATCACTATGTACCCCATAAATATGTACAAATATTATTTGTCAGGTAAAAATAAAACTAAATTAAAAATAAAACAAAACTTAACTATCAAGTTTTAAATTAATAGCTTTTCTATTGTTAAATAAATACCATTCTTAATTGCTGGTTACCAAGTGCATTAATCAACACTTGCTGTAGTAATAATTCCCAAATTGCAGCAGATTACAACAATAAACATTTAGTTATTGCTCATGGTACATGATGTTTATGGGCCAAGTGTAGCTCTACTTAATATGCTTTCTCATTCCTGAGCCCAGGTTAACATACCAACCTCTGTACTGGACATTCTAGTCCCTCTGCAGAGGGTAAAAAAATTCTAGAGCGGTGCCCGGTGTGGTGGCTCAAGCCTGTAATCCCAGCACTTTGGGAGGCCGAGGCGGGCGGATCATGAGGTCAGGAGATCGAGACCATCCTGGCTAACATGGTGAAACCCCGTCTCTACTAAAAATACAAAAAATTAGCCAGGAGTGGTAGCAGGCACCTGTAGTCCCAGCTACTTGGGAGGCTGAGGCAGGAGAATGGCGTGAACCTGGGAGGTGGAGCTTGCAGTGAGCCGAGATCGCGCCACTGCACTCTAGCCTGGGTGACAGAGCGAGACTCCATCTCAAAATAAATAAATAAATAAATAAAAATAAAAATAAAATTCTAGAAGATGAGCCAACTCTGTATTTAAGCTACTTGACTGGACATATATCCCATCTGCTCACTTATATTGGCCAAAGCTAAGCTAGTATAAGGAAAATTGATTAAGCGGGAAAATTGGGTGAGCTGGAAGAGTGAACAAAATTTATACTCTTATTAAGCATGTATTCACTTCCCTCCTGCACACACACACACACACACACACATACATATTAATACTCCAGGATGTCTACTTCAGATCTGGATACAGCTTCCCAAGTAATTAAGAAAACAAGTTACCTGGATCCATACTACCAATAAACACAACCAACATACAATGAGGGCACAAAGACAGAACAATGGTAATAAACCCATCCATTCACAAAGGGGAAGAATGGCAATGCCACTGGATAAATAGTATAAGAACTTTTAATCCTGACAATAGCACATGTTCTTTCATTAGGCCATATTTTCTCTCTGAGAATTCTTCCCTAGTTCATTATTTTTTATAGCTACTGGATCCACTCTGAAAATGACTTATTTTTCATTTTCTGTCTTGACGACAGCTGATACAGTCATTGGAAAAGAGACCTTCATTGGAAAAAATAAGCATCTTTACCAGCCTGCTTTCTTTCTTATAAAGTGGGGTGCCCAAAATCATTTTACAATTCTACTAGTAAGTTTGTTTTCATCGAGGTTAATGGCACGTTTCACCATATCAATCTCTTTGAAAAACTAAATAAAAAAAAAATCCTTTTGATTGTTTCAAAGTCTGTGTGCCAATAGCCATAATTATTATTTTTAAGAATTGCCTCACTCTCAAAGCACAATTAAATGTACTTTGAATTTATCCAGCTCCTAACTTTTGACTTCTCTGGGACCAGGTCCTTGGTCTTTCTTTTTGGAACTACTTTATGCAACTGACAGCATTCACGTGGGGCCACCTTAAAACAATCAGAGTTTTTGGCAAAATACCTTTTTCCTGAGCCTAAGTCATATTTAGGATGAGTCTTAATCACCTTTAATAGCCCAAAGCATTTCTTTTTAAAATATTTTTCTCTGACCCTAGATGAGAAATAGTCTCAATTTTTAAATGATACTACTCTCAGAATGTCTAGACTTGTTATTTTTTCTTTCACACCTATTGTAAATAAGGTGATTCTTTTCTCAGTTCATCAAATGCAGAAAACATCCAATCAATGCTAGTAACATTCTGTTTCAAATTTTCTTTTTCCGAAATTGAAAGTCTATTAAGTTAATTTTTTGTGTTTCAAATTATTATAGGCAGGAGTTTCCTGCACTGCATGACAATGGTTGCCATTTTTTTTCTAGGCTCTGAATATAGTCCACAGCCCAGCACCAGTTTGTTTGTTTTGTTTATTCAGTAGCGAAAGTCCAGCGTTGAGTACCAATGGTATTCTATGGTTTCTGTTGCGGTAATAAAAACCTCCAATATCTTAACGGCTTATAAGAACAAACATTTATTTCTTGCTCTTCTTATACATTATTTCTGGCTGACTGCACTCAGCTCCACATGTCTTATCAATCAAAAACCCATGCTGGAGCAACAGCTTCTATTCGGTTTAACTTGTTTTCATAGAAGAGGGTAGAAGCTAAAGAGGCTGATCCTAAAATATGAAGTTATTTCTAAAGGTTATCTTTGGAAGTGTGAAACATGTATTATTCACTCACATTTCATTGGTCAAAGCAATTTATGTGGCCAAGCCTGACAGTGGGTAGGGGAAGTTTACCCAAAGGCACGAGGGGGTGTGAATATTTGGGATTAGGAGTACAATTTTATTTCATTGTGTTAACCTCCTGCATGATAAGAAATGTTTTTGTAATCGAGACCATCCTGGCTAACACGGTGAAACCCCGTCTCTACTAAAAAATAGAAACAATTTGCCGGGCGTGGTGGCGGGCGCCTGTAGTCCTAGCTACTCGGGGTGGCTGATGCAGGAGAATGGCATGAGCCCGGGAAGCGGAGCTTGCAGTGAGCTGAGATCGCGCCACTGCACTCCAGCCTGGGCGACAGAGCAAGACTTCGTCTCAAAAAAAAAAAAAAAATGTTTTTGTAGACCTCCAGACAGGAATACAAAAGTGAGAAAATCAGATCTATAATATCTGGGTTAAAACATTTTTTATTGATAATTGTCCGCAGAGTATATTAGGTAGTTTAAGCATGACAAAGACCTCAGTGCTATTTTTTTTCACTTTGCTAAGACTGAGAATAGGAAAACATCTTTCTTTTTAAGTAATTTCACTGCCTTCCAAAGCCTTGGTGATTAAAAGAGTATGACTAGAGAATTTTTTTTCTTTCTCAAAAGTTAAAACATATTAAGGAAAAAAGGGAAAAAAGAAGCAGTGAAGCAGCCTAATTGTAGTCTTTCCAGAACAAAACAAAAAAAAAGGAGATAGAGAATAAAATACTCTAATAATAACTCCAAATGATCTGTTAAATGGACCAAAATAATTACTGCTACTGTATCAATAGCCATATGCGTGTTACAATAGTGCAATACTTTGTAACATGAAAATCTGTTCTCGTGGATGAATTAAAGAGAATTTTATGAGATTTCGCTAACACGTACAGGAAGAAAATAGAATATACTTGGACTTGCTTCCCAGGGATATTGAGAAAGCTAAAAAAATCTCTGCAATCCTTTTCATTCTTTCCAATTCCTAGTTAGTAGCGTTTTCATTTCATTAGAAGAATGGCATTTTTCCTTCTTGATTTGGGAGTAGTTAATGGTCAATACTTCCTATGTAAACATCATGTTTATTCTGAAAATAGATTAAGAAGATAAATGAAATGTATGCATACAATAAATTCAGTGATATTAAATGCCTTTTCCCAGGAAAATGAATAAATGTGCTGCCTGCTTAATAATATTTTGATTGAAAAACATTCTGATCACCAGTTATCTCTTTTGAGTTAGACGGACTGATTTTATGTTAGTAATTAAGATATTTTATACACTTTATACTCTTTATGGTTTCTATACTATGTTCTTCCTCTCTGTTTTATAATTATTTGTGGAGTAATATGAAAAAAACTTCTAAAATAAATGGCAGATTTTTCACAAACTTCTTTGAGATCAACTATTTCTTTTTAAAATCTTACTCCTTTCCTCTCTTTTATTGATATTGAGTCAATATCTTCAGTAATAACTGAATAACCTTTTAATTTTCTTAAAATATAATAATATATAAGATAACATAGCTGGAATGAATGAGAAATACTATTGTTAAAAGAGATATTATTTCCAGTATGTGTATAATTTCTGGTTGAAGGCATTTATATCTTAGGAAGAAATGAAAGGAAATGCCAAACTATGATGCACGTTTCACTTCACAGCCAATATGGTTGGAGGATTTATTAAATGAAGGTCAAGAAAAAAATTAAAACCAAATATAGACATGAGCTAGAATTCAAATTAGATCACAGAAAATGTAATTATTTCTTAATTAGCCAGATTCTGTCTCCTTAGTAGAAAATACGAAAGTATGGGCCAACTGCAATAATTCTCTGAGACTTCTGAGGGCTCATTTCAAAACTCATGACTTGGGTTCAATTCAGAAAACAACAACATTAAGAATCTGGAACGCCTGTTATTCAGAGTGAGCCTGCCCTTTGCAGTTTTGCTTCCTATAACGCCAGTGGGAACTCTAAATGTAATTTTTTCTCCATGACTGACCCAGTCCATAATTTATTTGGAACCAAACTGGAGTACTGCATTTAACTTACACCGCCTTTACAGAAAAATTCTTTGAAAATACTGTCTTTAGAATGTCACAATAATAGCCTTTTGACATCATACACACGACTTATAATTATCCCACGCCTATTGTATCTCCTCATATATAATGCTTCACAGAAAGCCAAGTGGAGTGAGGAAAATATTTAGTGTTAATTGGGCTTCTGTAAAAGCATTGCTTTTTACCAATATTGAATCAGATATTCAGATAACTAAAAGCCAGAAGCCCAGTTGAAATACTGTTTATTGAGGCCTATGCAAAAAATAGGCTGTAAAACTTTGGCATAGTGAGATATGATCTAGTTACAACAATGAGCTCAGTGCCTCAATTTGAGTCACTTTTGTCAGACATGGGACACAGTGAAGACACTGAATTGAATTTAACTTTGTGATTTCTTTAAATAACTTAAAGTTAATATTCTAATTTTGTGATTTTGTCATGAACCTAAAGTTGTGACTATTAATATAATTCTGATAAAATAGCTTATTTTATGGAGTATATTTGGTTAATTCTTATAGTCACCTTACGAGATATTTGAAGAAACAAGAGGTTCAGAGGGGTCAGATGTTTGAGATTCCACTGATGGTAAGTGAGCAAGCCATGATTCAAGTCAAATGTAGTATAGTTGCGAAGCAGACTTCCCTTATTGTTTTATTACCTGCTTTTCTCTTATTTACCCAAATCTGAATCCCAATTTGTTACTCATGATGTTAAGAAAAACACTACATAATTGTTAGTACCCCAAATTTACTCATGTTATTCTGTCGTGAATACATGCAAACATTTCATGCCCATGCAAACACATCCACTCTCCTCCACTCCAGGAAAAAGTCTCAGCTCTCCTTGGGCACATGGATAAACTGCCTCATTACTCAGTTTTTAATCTGTAAATTGTCAGTAAAATAAAAAATACTTATTCCATGCTAAGGATGTGATGATAATTGAGTTAACATAAATTTCTCATAGGAGGGCTTAGTATGTAGTAAATGTTCATATTATAGTAGTATAAGCGATTATTATTATCACCAATAGATATATCTTAGCTTCTGTGCCCCTGTATTGAGAAGTACCTGCTAAGCATGTATTAGTTATTCCTACTGTTATTCTGTTCCTGTAGCAATAAATGATTTCTTCTTCTGAACTCAAACAGCTTATTATTATTATAATTTATTTTCTACTTGGAGCCTTCTTTTTTGTTATTGCTGCTCTATAGTACTAAACGTTTTTCACTGTCTAAATTTTAACATATTTGTCATGGGATTAAATGTATAGTTCTTAATTCTTAATTCAAGTATAAACTTCTCTGTACATCTTAATATTCTTTTAAAATGATGTCTCATTTTGGCACCCAAAGCCCAGCATAATATATTGCTTATTTTAAATTCTCAGGATGCATTCTCTTAACCTTGAACTAAATATAGTTAAAATGTAAACTTTCAAAACATGACTATTTCTTAGAATATTAAAGTGAAAGTTGAAGATAATCCATCAATTAATTCATTCATTCTTTCTTTGAGCAAATGCTATTGAGTTTCCACTAGGTGTTAGTATCTGAGGTAAAGATATTGAATAGCTAAAAATATTTTTCTCATGGAATTTAGAATAAGCCTTCTTGAATGTAATCACATATCACCAGGGAAGCTTGTCAAGATGCAGGTTCTGATTCACTTCTTCTGGGATGGAGCCTGAGCATCTGCATTCCTACAAGCTCCCAGGTGGTCCTCATGTCCTTGGCCCTATGAACACATAATGAGCAGCAAGCACCCAATACCTTCTAGAATACTCCATATTGCATATTTATCTCTCTTTCCATTTCTCCTCGGAGCAAGGGAAAGCTTCGTTTGCCACACCCTTACACATCCTCCCCAACCCGGAATAAGTAAACACATGAAATTGAACAGTGGCCAGGTAAGCACTGTATAAGAAAAAGGCTTGTAACTTGACTTCAACTACTAATAAGCTTGTGGTGTCATAGGAAAAACTCCTCTGTCATACACTATTATCAATTATGTTTGCCCAAAAGATTTTACCTAGAAGCTTAGAGAATACCACAGTGTGGTCTCTGAACCAAAAGAGTATTTTCCATTGGTAAGTTGTAGCTCTAGTTCTAGAATTTACTACATTTTGATTGTGTGGTAAAAACCTGTTCTACAGTCATGCCAGCTTCTGACATTTCTAGGTCTTGGGGCCTGAGAAAGTAAATATAATAATACTTTAAAATTCTAGCCCAGCTTTCATTTTTTCTCACCATTCAAGAAATGCAAGAATGTGAGTCATAAATAGAATTACAATAAGTGATTTTCTAATTATGTCAAACTTTATATAATTCTACTAATCTCTAATTTATAATGGTCATAACACCCCAATAATTTTATTGAGTAATTTACATTAATCATGCACAAAACTATATTTAACATATACGGTGTTCATGTCTAAACTTTTATTAGGAAAAGACTATCTTCTCTCAAGCGTTTGCTTTGAAATTTGATGTGAAGTCAAAGCCACATACAATCTCTTAAATCTTGCCCATGTGATATGGTTTGGCTGTGTTCCCACCCAAATCTCAGTTTGAATTGCATCTCCCAGAATTCCCATGTGTTGTGGGAGGGATCCAGGGAGAGGTAATTGAGTCATGGGGGCTGATGTTTCCTATGATATTCTTATGATAGTGAACAAGTCTCACGAGATTTGATGGGTTTTTCAGGGGTTCCTTCTTTTGCTTCTTCCCCATTTTCCCTTACTGCCATCATGGAAGAAGTGCCTTTCACCTCCTGCCATAATTCTGAGACTTCCCAAGCCATATGAAACTGTAAGTTCAATTAAACCTCTTTCTTTTGTAAATTGCCCAGTCTCAGGTATGTCTTTATCAGCAGTGTGAAAATGACTAATTCAGTAAATTGTTACCAGTAGAGTGGGGTATTACTGAAAAGATACCCAAAAATGTGGAAGCAATTTTGCAACTGGGTAACAGGCGAGATTGGAACAGTTTGGAGGGCTCAGAAGAAGACAGGAAAATGTGGGCAACTTTGGAACTTCCTGGAGACTTGTTGAATGGCATTGCCCAAAATGCTGTTAGTGATATGGACAATAAGGTCCAGGCTGAGGTGGTCTCAGAAGGAGATGAGGAACCTGTTGAGAACTGGAGAAAAGGTGACTCTTGATATGTTTTAGTAAAGAGATTGGTGGCATTTTGTCTCTGCCCTATGGATTTATGAAATTTGAACTGGAGAGAGATAATTCAGATTATCTGGCAGAAGACATTTCTAAGCAGCAAAGCATTCAAGAGGTGACTTGGGTGCTGTTAAAGGCATTCAGTTTTCTAAGGGAAGCAGAGCAAAAAAGTTTGGAAAATCTGCAGCCTGACAATGCAATAGAAATGAAAAACCCATTTCTGGAAAGAAATTGTAGCTGGCTGAAGAAATTTTCATAACTAAGGAGGAGCCAAATGTTAATCCCCAAGACTGTGAGGAAAATGTCTCCAGGCCATGTCAGAGACCTTCACAGTAGCCCCTCCCATCACAGGCCAGGAGGCCCAGGAGGAAAAAGTGATTTTGTGGGCCAGGCTCAGATCCCCTGAGCTACGTGCAGCCAAAGGACTTGGTGCCCTGTATCCCAGCCACACCAGCCATGGCTGAAAAGGGCCAACATACACCTCAGGCTGTGGCTTCAGAGGATGGAAGCCCCAAGCCTTGGCAACTTCCATGTAGCGTTGAGGCTGCACGTGTGTAGAAGTCAAGAACTGAGGTTTGGGAACCTCTGCCTAGTTTTCAGAGGTATGGAAACACCTGGATGCCCAGGCAAAAGTTTGCTGCAGGGGCGGGGCTGCATGGCAAGCCAGTGCAGAAGGCAAATGTGGGGTTGGAGCTCCCAAACAGAGTTCCTGCTGGGGCACTGCCTAGTGGAGCTGTGAGAAGAGGACTACCATCTCCAGACCCCAGAATGGTAGATCCACCGACAGCTTGCATGCACCATGCCCCTAGAAGAGCCACAGGCACTCAATGCCAGCCCATGAAAACAGCCAGAAGGGAGGCTGTACCCCACAAAGCCACAGGGTTGGTGCTTCCCAAGACCATGGGAACCCACCTCTTACATCAGCATGACCTAAAAGTGAGACCTGGAGTCAAAGGAGATCATTTTGGAGCTTTAAAATTTGACTGCCCCACTGGATTATGGACTTGCATGGGTACTGTAACCCCTTTGTTTTGGCCAATTTCTCCCATTTTGAATGGCTGTATTTACCCAATACATGTACTCACATTGTATCTAGGAAGTAAGTAACTTGATTTTGATTTTACAGGCTCGTAGGTGGAAGGGACTTGCCTTGTCTCAGATGAGACTTTGGACTGTGGACTTTAGGGTTAATGCTGAAATGAGTTAAGACTTTGGAGGACTGTTGGGAAGACATGATTGGTTTTGAAATGTGAGGACATGAGATTTTGAGGGGCTGGGGCAGAATGATATGGCTTGGTTGTATCTCCACCCAAATCTCAACTTGAATTGTATCTCCCATAATTCCCACGTGTTGTGGTAGGGACCAAGGGGTGGGTAATTGAATCATGGGGTCCGGTGTTTCCTGTGCTATTCTTGTGATAGTGAGTAAGTCTCATGAGATCTGATAGGTTTATCAGGGGTTTCTACTTTGGCTTCTTCCTCATTTTCTCTTGCCACCACCATGTAAGAAGTCCCTTTCACCTCCTGTCATGATTCTGAGGCCTCCCCAGTCACATAGAACTATAAGTCCAATTAAATCTCTTTCTTTTGTAGATTACCCAGTCTGGGGTATGTCTTTATCAGCAGTGTGAAAATGGACTAATACACCATGTTACTAGCTTTGGAATATTCCTTAAATTCTTTTCCGTCTCTCATTTATTATATGGGAACATCTCAGTAAGATTTTCAAAGCAACACTTGTTGATCTTGGCCAATGTTTTATTGCACCTGCCCTAATTCTGCCCTTGAGAACGTTCAGTTCTAGAGCAGTTTCCTCTATATATATGTGTGTATGCACACATGCCGGTTTTACAATATCCTTCATATCAATATCAAATGAAAAATTATATTGTTGTCCTAGTCTGGAGGCAATTTTGGCAGCCAGCTCCTAGTGACTCATGCTCGGTAAGTATCACCATGACCATGAAATATGCAAGATCCATTGTTCTAATGCAGGATAAGATTTCAATTTTTATAATGCATAATAATTTTTCAGTTTTGTGCCATGTGAGTGCAAAAAACATATAACAATGGTGATGCTCTGAATGAGATTCTAAATTACCATAATTGGTCTCCTCATAGGGTTGTAAAACAAAAAAAAAGAAGATTGAGGCAAGTCTCAATTGATTTTGAGGTTTATTTTGCCAATGTTGAGCAAAGAAGAAGAAAAAAACACAAATAACAGGAGCATCTGTGGTCTGTGCCTTTTCCAAAGAGGGTTTTGATGACTTCAGTATTTAAAGAAGAAAGAGCTAGAGGGAGAGGAAGGAGAAAAAAAATGGTTGGTGAGGGTAGGCAATGAGACAAGTGGTTACATTCTTATGGGGCTTTGATTAGTACTCACAGAATATGCATTTTACTTGTAAAAGCAGAGTGTAGAGAAACAGTCAATTACACATTATATTTTACATACGATAAGTTCTCCTACAAATCTTCTGGGACTATGTATCTTCATAAACCCCAACCATGTAAACTCTCCCCACTGACCTGGGCAAATGCAATGAATTATTGTAGATAATAGATAGAGGCAGCTAATCCCATGAACCCAGAAGGCTATACCTTCTTCTTTATTTTTGTAGCTTTTGCCAAAAGGAGTCCAAAAAGGCCAGCAAAACCAATAACACCAAGTCTTGGAAAATATCCTGGAGGTGCATTTGGAGATATTCATAGCTGTCTAACCCTCATTGACCCAAACTTTGCATCTTGGGATTAGTTTGGGAGTATGTTTCCTGACACCAACTTGTACATGGCCTACAATAATGTTGGAGCTGAGAGATGCTTTCTTCAAACTGGGTCCTCCACTCCTCCACATATTCAAATTCACCCTTAGGAACTGAGTAGAGTGAAAGCTCATCAAGCTTCATGGGATATTTGAGAGGTGAGTCCTTTCTTGGTGTTGCATAGAGTTTGAAGATGAGCAAACACATGCCAGCTTGCTCCATGGACCTCTGAGTTGCCTTGAACGTGTTACTGGCAGCAGTGGCTCCATCAGGGTTGAGCAGGAGTTTAACTCTTGGTCTGCACTTCTTGAGAGTGTCATGTTTAGAGACATGATGGATGTGAGCATCAGTAAAGTGTATAGTTGGTAACTAAATCTATGTGAATTTTGATTTGGAATTTGTATGTGTTCTTCTCTGTTGCATGTATGGCAAGTCTATCTAATTGGTAATTGTAACCACTTCCTCCATTCTCCTGGGGTATATGATGACTGTCTATCATGTTTATATGCCTTCTGTCCCCACAACTTCATCAAGAGTACTTTATAACTTTGCTTACTCCACTGTTACGGTCAATTTTGTGTGTCATCTTGCCTGATCTAAGGAATTCCCAGACAGCTGGTAAAACAGTATTTCTGGGTTCATCTGTGAGAGTGTTTTCAGAAGCAATTAACATTTGAATCAGTAGACTGGGTGAAGAAGACTACATTGACCTTTCCTAATGTGGGGGGGCATCGTTCCATCTATTGAGGGCCTGAATAGAATGAAAAGGCAGAAAAAGGGCAAATTCCCTTTATTTGAGCTGAGACATCCATCTTCTCCTGCACTTGGACATAATTGCTCCTGGTTCTCCAGATTTCAGCCTCAGATGGGAGGTTATACTATCAGCTCCCTAATTCTTAGGCCTTTAGAGTGGAGCTGAATTATACGATTGCCTTTCCTGGTTCTCCGGCTTGCAGAAAGCAGATCACAGGACATCTCAGCCTCCATTTCCACGTATATTACTTTAAGTCTCTTACGTATATTCTATTGGTTCTGTTTCTCCATATA
Source organism: Homo sapiens (assembly GCF_000001405.40). NCBI lineage: Eukaryota > Metazoa > Chordata > Mammalia > Primates > Hominidae > Homo > Homo sapiens. The sequence continues at coordinate 87,594,033 of NC_000003.12, read as the reverse complement.
ACCCTGATTAATTGATATGGTTTGGTTCTGTGTCCCCATCTAAATCTCATCTTTAACTTTAATCCCCATGTGTCTAGGAACCTGTGATCTCCACAAGTCGACGAAGGAAAATGATTGGATTATGGGGAAAGTTTCCCTCATGCTGTTTCGTCCTTCCCATGAGATCTGATGGTTTTATAAATGGCAGATTTCCCTGCGCTCTCACTCCTTCTCCTGCCACCTTGTGAATAAGGTGCCAGCTTCCCCTTCCACCATGATTGTAAGTTTCCTGGGTCATCCCCAGTCATGCGGAACTGACTCAATTAAAACTCTTCTTTATAAATTATCCAGTCTCAAGTAGTTCTTCATAGAAGTGTGAAAATGGACTAATACACTAACATACCCACAAAACCCTTACTTAAGTCAGACTAAGCCAAACAAATTATAAAAATGTTTGTGCATAGCGTTTTTGTGTGTGTAATATATACAAAGTTTTATACTTGTGTTCAAAAGTGAGCTTGAGCTTCTTTCCTGTGTTCTTCTTTTCTATTTGGGGGATCAGTATAATAAGGCTTTCTGACTTTTTCCATGCCATCTGGGAATCAAAATTACAATAAAATTGTCAGGTAAACGGGAATGTTTTCTACCATTTTACAATACTCTAAAAAATATTTAGAAAACATTATTTCTGTTAATTAGACATTTGGTAAAATTAATTGATAAACCTATTATGTGCCTATTTTCTTGATTAATGTTTACATTTAGTTTATTTTTACTGAGTTCCTCCAGATTTTTTTCACCACTTGAGCGAATTTTGGCAATTTTTATTTTAATAGAAAAATTATCTTGGCATCAAGACTTTAAAATTTATTGTATGACATTTACGTATCTGTAGTTAAGTATCCTTTTTCCTCCTTGTGCTATTGATTAGTCAGAATTTGCAAAGGTTGTGAATATCATTTATCTTTTCAAGGATCCAGATTCTTTAATTTACTTTTTAAATTGCTATTTTATTAACTTCTACTTTTTATTTAATTCTTTATTATTTCCTTTAAAATAGTTTTTGCCTTTTTTCCCCAGGTAATAAGAGTCTCATACTTTCCCCCCGATCTTTCTAATAAATGTACTAATTTTAAAAATTCTTATTTTCACATAAATATACTCTATGCTAATCATTCTCCTTTTAATGCTGTGTTAGCAGCATTCTATTCAGGTTTAACTTATAGCAGGCTCATTATTATTAATTTGTAGATAATTTCTGTGTTTGTTTGTGAGAGCTGCCATGGCAAAGTACCACAAACTAGGTGGGTTAAACAACAAAAATTATTGTCTCACAGTTCTGGAGGTTGGAAGTCTGAAATGCAGGTGTGGGTAGGGTTGATTCCTTCTGAGGGCTATGAAAACAGGATGCATTCCAGCCCTCTGTTCTTGGCTTTAGATGGCAATCTTCTCCCTATGTTTTCAGATTGTCTTTTCTCTGTACATGTCTGTGTCAAAATTTGACCTTTTCATACGGACTTCAGTCAGATTGCATTAGGGGCATAACTTACTTCATTATTATCTTATCTTAGTTTAAGTAATTATAGTCATGCTTCACTTAACTGTGAGGATACGTTCTAAGAAATGTGTCCTTAGGTGATTCTGTCATTGTGCAAACATTATAGCCTATACTTATAAAGCCTAGATGATATGGTTTTCTATACAACTTGGCTATATGATATGTCCTATTGCTCTTAGGCTACAAAACTGTACAGCATATTACTGTACTGAATACTGTAGGCAATTGTAACACAATAAGTATCTGTGTAACTAAATATATCAACATAGAAAAGGTGCAGTAAAGCTATGATATTATAATCTTATGGGACCACTGTCATATTTGTAGTCTGTCATTGACCAAAACTTTATTTGCAGCATATGACTACATCTGCAAAGACCCTGATTTCAACATGTACATTTTGTGAGGTCACAATTAGACCCATAACAATAAGAAATTGAAGCTTTTTTCATTGTTTCATGATAAACAAATGTAGTAAGAATATTTATTCTTTTTGGAATTGATTAAAATTATTTATTTGGAATTTCTTTTTAAAAGTCTAATTGGTTTTTACTTAAATACCTTAAATCTTTATTGTTTCATCAAGAAAAGCTCATGGTGATGAAATCTTTTTAATAAATTGTTCTCTGAAAGTGAATACTTTTATATTTCCATACAGTTAGGACTTTCTGAGGAAAGGGAACTAGAACCTAGGTTTAAGGACTAACCTTGAAAGCTAAAAACCAATTAAAGAGCCAAAAAATCAATAGAGATTATTTCAAATGTGTTTACATTTCAAAGGAATATAAAATCCCTGAACTATGGAGACATTTACATTCTGAAGGATTATACACCATTAGAGAATAAGAGTTTCTCTCTGTCTCTGTCAGGAGGGGAGAGGGACAGCAAGTAAAGAGACTCCAAGATTCATAACTTCAAGGTTCCTCCTCTGAAGTGCAAGAAACCAACTAATATGGTTTGGCTGTGTCCCTACTTTAATCTCATCTTGAACTGTAGTTCCCATAATGCCCATGTGTTGTGGGAGAGACCTGGTGGGAGGTAATTAAATCATGGGGGCAGTTACTTCCATGCTGTTCTCATGAAAGTGAGTGAGTTCCACAACAACTTATGGTTTTATAAGGGGCTTTCCCCCCTTTTGCTCATTCTTCTCCTTGCTGCCGCCATGTGAAGAAGAACATGTTTGCTTCTCCTTCTGCCATGATTGTAAGTTTTCTGAGGCCTCCCCAGTCATACTGAGCTGTGAGTCAACTAAACCTCTTTCCTTTATAAATTACTGAGTCTCCGGTATATCTTTATTAGCAGCATGAGAATTGTTTAATACAGTAGACTGGTAATGGGTCATGGGGTGCTGGTGTAAAGATACCCAAAAATGTCAAAGTGACTTTGGAACTGGGTAACAGACAGAGGTTTTAACAGTTTGGGGGCCTCAGAAGAAGACAGAAAAATGTAGGAAAGTTTGGAACTTCCTAGAGATGTGGAGGGCTCAGAAGACAGGAAGATGTGGGAAAGTTTGGAACTTTCTAGAGACTCGTTGAATGGCTTTGACCAAAATGCTGATAGCAATATGGACAATGAAGTTTAGGCTGAGGTGGTCTCAGATGGAGATGAGACACTTGTTGGGAACTGGAACAAAAGTGACTCTTGCTATGCTTTAGCAAAAAGACTGGCAGCATTTTACCCCTGCCCTAAAGATACGTGGAACTTTGAACTTGAGAGATGAGTTAGGGTATCTGGCAAAAGAAATTTCTAAGCAGCAAAGTGTACAAGAACTGACTTGGGTGCTCTTAAAAGCATTCAGTTTTATTCATTCACAAAGATATGGTTTGGAATTGGAACTTACATTTAAAAGGGAAGCAGAGCACAAAAGTTTGGAAAATTTGCAGACTGATGACACAATAGAAAAGAAAAACCCATTTTCTGAGGAGAAATTCAATCTGGCTGCAGAAATTTGCATAAGTAATGAGGAGCCAAATGTTAATTGACAAGATAATGGGGAAAATTTCTCAAGGGAATATCAGAGATCTTCATGGCAGCACCTCCCATCACAGGCCCAGAGGCCTAGGAGGAAAAAATTGTTTCATGGGCTGGGCCCAGAGCCCCTCTGCTGTGTGCAGCCTAGTGACTTGGTGCCCTATGTTCCAGCTGCTCCAGCTTGGGCCATGGCTTCATAGGGTGGAAACCCCAAGTGTTTGCAGCTTCCATGTGGTATTGGTCCTGCAGGTGCACAGAAGTTAAGAATTGAGGTTTGGGAACCTCTGCCTAGATTTCAGAGGATCTATAGAAACATCTGAACATCCAGGCAGAGGTGTGCTGTAGGGACGGAGCCTTCATGGAGACCATCTGCTAGGGCAGTGTGGAAGGGAAATGTAGGATTGGAGCCCCCACACAGAGTCCCCACTGGGTCACTACCTAGTGGAGCTGTGAGAAGAAGACCATGGTCACCCAGGCCCCAGGCTCCTAGATCCACTGATGGCTTGCATCATGTGCGTGGAAAAGCTGCAGACACTCAATGCCAGCCTGTGAAGCAGCCAGGAGGGGGGCTGTACCCTGTAAAGCCAAAGAGATGGAGCTTCCCAAGGATGTGGGAGCCCACCTTTTGCATCAGCATTACCTGGATGTGAGACATGGAGTCAAAGGAAATCATTTTGGAACATTAGGATTTAATGACTGTCCTATTGGATTTTGGACTTTCATGGGGCCTGTAGCCCCTTTGTTTTGGCCAATTTCTCCCAGTTGGAATGGGTGTATTTACCCAGTGCCTGTACCCCCATTGTATATAGAAAGTAACTGACTTGCTTTCAATTTTACAGGCTCATAAGGAGAAGGGACTTCAGATAAGATTTTGGGCTTAGACTTTTGCATTAATGCTGGGATGAGTTAAGACTTGGGGGACTGTTGGGAAGGTATGATTGTTTTGAAATGTGAGGACATGAGATGTGGGAGAGGAAAGGGATGGAATGATATGGTTTGGTTGTGTCCTCACACAAATATCATCTTGAATTGTAGTTCCCATAATCCCTATGTGTGGTGGGATGATCCCTGTGTTAGGTAATTCAGTCATGGGGGTGGTTTTCCCTATCCTGTTCTCATGATATTGAGTGAGTTCTCATGAGATCTAATGGTTTTATAAGGGGTTTTCCGTCCCTTTTTTTTATTATTCTCTTTGCTGCTGCCATGTGAAGAAGGACTTGTTTCCTTACCCTTTCACCATGATCATAAGTTTCCTGAGGCCTCCCAAGTCATGCTGAACTGTGAGTCAATTAAACCTCTTCCCTTTATGGATTGCCCAGTCTTGGGTATGTCTTTATAAGCAGCATGAAAAAGGACAAATACACCAACTTTTGCAGAGTCCATTTGACTTAAATGTCATATCTACTAAAAAGGAAAGAAATAGAGCATCAGGAATTGATGTTTTTCGTGCTGTGAATAAATTTGCCTTGGCTTAGAAACTTTACATTGGCATTCCTGCTAATATAAGTAAACATTAATATTAAAAACTTAATGATAACATATTTTATGAATTCTACTTTGTATAGGTTTCTTAGATGAATATATGATCAACTAGGTTTTTCATATTCAAAATTTTAAGTCCCATTTTCTTGAGAAAAACCTAGATGTTCTAAATATACCTTTTCATAATTTTGCATACTTTGCTGTGTTGTCCTATTAAGGAGTCCCTGCTGACCTATTTTCTTTTTTTTTAAATTATACTTTAAGTTTTAGGGTACATGTGCACAATGTACAGGTTTGTTACATATGTATACATGTGCCATATTGGTGTGCTGCACCAATTAACTTGTCATTTAACATTAGGTATATCTCCTAATGCTATCCCTCCCGCTCCCCCCAACCCCACAACAGGCCCCAGTGTGTGATGTTCCCCTTTCTGTGTCCATGTGTTCTCATTGTTCAATTCCCATCTATGAGTGAGAACATGTGGTGTTTGGTTTTTTGTCCTTGGAATAGTTTGCTGAGAATGATGGTTTCCAGCTTCATCCATGTCCCTACAAAGGACATGAACTCATCATTTTTCATGGCTGCATAGTATTTTATGGTGTATATGTTGTATATGTGCCACATTTTCTTAATCCAGTCTATCATGGTTGGACATCTGGCTTGGTTCCAAGTCTTTGTTATTGTGAATAGTGCCACAATAAACATATGTGTGCATGTGTCTTTATAGCAGCATGATTTATAATCCTTTGGGTATGGTATTTCTAGTTCTAGATCCCTGAGGAATCGCCACACTGACTTCCACAATGTTTGAACTAGTTTACAGTCCCACCAACAGTGTAAAAGTGTTCCTATTTCTCCACATCCTCTCCAGCATCTGCTGTTTCCTGACTTTTTAATGATAGCCATTCTAATTGGTGTTAGATGGTATCTCATTGTGGTTTTGATTTGCATTTCTGTGATGGCCAATGATGGTGAGCATTTTTTCATGTATCTTTTGGTTGCATAAATGTCTTCTTTTGAGAAGTGTCTGTTCATATCCTCCACCCACTTTTTGATGGGGTTGTTTGTTTTTTTCTTGTAAATTTGTTGAAGTTGATCGTAGATTCTGGATACTAGCCCTTTGTCAGATGAGTAGATTGCAAAAATTTTCTCCCATTCTGTAGGTTGCCTGTTCATTCTGATGGTAGTTTCTTTTGCTGTGCAGAAGCTCTTTAATTTAATTAGATCCCATTTGTCAATTTTGGCTTTTGTTGCCATTGCTTTTGGTGTTTTAGAGATGAAGTCCTTGACCATGCCTATGTCCTGAATGGTATTGCCTAGGTTTTCCTCTAGGGTTTTTATAGTTTTAAGTCTAACATGTAAGTCTTTAATCCATCCTGAATTAATTTTTGTAGAAGGTGTAAGGAAGGGATCCAGTTTCAGCTTTCTACATATGGCTAGCCAGTTTTCCCAGCACCATTTATTCAATAGGGAATTGTTTCCCCATTTCTTATTTTTGTCAGGTTTGTCAAAGATCAGATGGTTGTAGATATGTGGCATTATTTCTGAGGGCTCTGTTCTGTTCCATTGGTCTAAATCTCTGTTTTGGTACCATTACTATGCTGTTTTTGTTACTGTAGCTTCGTAGTATAGTTTGAAGTCAGGTAGCGTGATGCCTCCAGCTTTGTTCTTTTGGCTTAGGATTGACTTGGCAATGCAGGCTCTTTTTTATATTTTCTTGAATTTTTTTTGCTTTCTGCCCTCTGCTACCAACTCCACACATATTTTGTCTTAACTCTGTCAAAAGGCAAACATACGAATAGGTAGTTTATGCTTTGGAATATTGAGTGCTGTCAATTCTGGCTTGACAAGGGGATCTACATCTTTTTTTAATGCTATTTTTTCTATGTTTAAATAGTTGCAGTGTTTTAGATGAAGAGCAAATCTTTAATAAATACTTTTCTACATAAGCTCAGAGTCACACCACCATTTCAGGACCCAAAGAACTAATGGGGTATTGGTATCATCTTTAGGAGAAAAGGGAGAAGGCACAAAACAAGTTAGAAGACTGAAATGTGTGGAAAACTGAGAGAATGAGAGACTCCTTCATTTGCTGGATACTTGTTTGACAAAACAAAAGTTACCTACAGAAATAGTTTGGGCTGGGCATGGTGGCTCATGACTGTAATCCCAGCACTTTGGGAGGCTGTGGCTGGAGGATCACTGGAGCCCAAGGGTAGTGGTGCATGCCTGTAGTCCCAGCTACTCAGGGACCTGAGGTGGGAGGATTACCTGAACCCAGGAAGTTGAGGCTGCAGTGAGCCTCATGTCACTACACTACATCCTGGGCAAGAGAGTGAGACCTTGTTTCAAAAAAAAAAGAAAGAAAGAAAAAAAGATATGGTTTGAAGACATTTTGAAAGCTGCTCCTTTGTTTAGAAAAGAGTTCTTTCTGATGTTTCTAATTCTATATTGTCTAGTAACAATTGGAGGCATCAAGCCTAAATACTGCCATTATGTATTATATGTAGTGGCCTCACTGAGGTACACTCAGAGTTTGAGATCCTGCACTTTTCAAGACCTACTGATGGAAGACTTTCCACACAAGTGAATATATTATTGTTGAGAACAGAAAATCTTGGATGATAAAAGACTGAATATGACTTCTGTGTGATTTGTAGTTTTACAGTGAAAGTCAAGCACATCACTGAGTATAAATGAGAAACCATGAGGAATTAGCAAAATAGAATGCTCCATATGTATTCAAAAGGATTTGGTTGCTTGAAATATTAAACTTTAAAAGCATGGAATTGTGTTTTATTCATTTATTACATGTCACTGGAAATTTGACCCTATATTGGTAAACGTAGAAAATTTAGTTGAGTCAGTAGACTGAGGTGCAAAAGGGTATAGTTCTTTGAAGTGAGATACAGTCCAATCTTAGTTTTTTCAAGTGAGATACAATCCAGTCTTTACCATTTACTTATTCTGTGACCTTTGACAAATCACTCAATCTTCCTAAACTTCTCACGTTCTTCTTCTTTAACATAGAAATAATGTCTATACTCACCTCAGGGAATTTGTTATGTTTAAATGAATTAATAAATGTAAATTTTTTAGCTCAGTACTTGGCACCTAGTAAGCATTCAATGAAGTATTTATTATTGTTACTAATCTTAAACTAGAAAAATAGTCATCCTAAAGATATGAAAAAGTTCTTTAAGCATCCATCAGTATTGGCTGTGGGCCAGTCATTGCTACAGGTGCTCCAGAAAATGTGGTAAGCAAGACAGAGAGATCCCTG